>NC_000002.12:147792648-148095678 GCF_000001405.40 Homo sapiens | reverse complement strand
ATGTATTGCTCATAAGTAATCTATATAAATGTGCACATCTGCTTTATTCTGCACACCCTACAATACTTTATAATGTTAAATCTAATTGTTAATTGTTTCCACCTTTTATAAGAGAGGAATCAGTATGAACCTAAAAATAAAGTCTTCAAAATACACCCTATATTACTATAGCACTTTGGTACTAAGTAAATCATATACACTTTTTACTTACATACAGATTGCATGTGTATTACAGGGATTAAATAATGAAACCAATAATACAAAATATGAGGTGGTCAGCTATAAATCATTTCTTGAGCAGATTTATATTTCTTATTTCCTATAATATCTAATGTAGAAATATCACAAAGAAGTAGTTTAATTATTAAGCAACAGAATAAGGGAAAAATGTTCACTTTCAAGTACTTTAAAAAATGTTATCTGAATATTCACTGTGTTCTTTTAGGAATTTGAAAATAAGCATTTTTATAACAAGTAACATTTTTCCACCTGTTAAATAGGGCTGCTGAATCTGGATTTACTAAAAGTGATCCAACATTTCCAAGTGATTAGGCATATGCTGGGAATGTCAATCTTTTAACTATATTTAGTGAACAAAGTAAAATCACTTGCCACAGTTTTATTTATTCATTTATTATTTATACCCTGCTAGCTTCCAATAATTCAGGATGATTCACCTGGCCTTTTATACGCTGGAGTTATGAGGCAGCACTGAGTATAGAAAAAACACTAGCTTTGAAATCAGATTCACCTAGGTTTAAATCCTGTTGTGCAGCAAAGTACCTGCAGAATCTTAGTCAAGTCACTTATCTTACTCTCTGAGCAGCAGATTCTATACCTATTATCTCTATGTATAGCTATATGTACCTGGCTTGTAGCTGGCATTCCATGAGTTATTTTTCTTCTTCTTAAATATTTAATTAGGCTTTTAGAAAATTAACTGTGATTTGTTTTTAATAACATTCTCATCCAGATTTTACAAAATAAGGATTTTAGTACTGTGCCTGATAGGAAAAACATCAATATTTCAAAATATCAATACAGATAACACCCTGGCTTCATTCATTTTTTGGAACTGCTTTATATAGTCATACCACTAACTATAGTTAAATACTACTTAAAGGGTACCTATGAAAATGATTTCCTCAAGTCTTCTATGATAACTTCTCTTAGGAGTTGACATTCAAGCTGAGATCTAACAGGAAACAGACATTGAATGACTGAAAGTAATAACATGCAGAGGGAACAATTTGTGTAAATGATCTGAAGTGGAAACAAGCTTGGTGTGTCCAAAATTGGCAAGTCAATTTGGATTATAAATGAGGGTGGCCAAATCAATCATGTCTTTTGGGTCAGAGTAAATAATTTGTAGAGTTTTATGCAAGGAAAGAGCTCCAATACACCACACTTTAAAATACTGCCAGTAGAGTACAAATAATGAGCACTACAATTAATCTGTTGGAACTGTATTTACAAAAACAAGGTCTCAACATACAAGTAACAATATACATTCAGTTAGTTGAAGTACAGTGCCAGTAGCATTAAGCATGGTCTAAGAAATTTAGGGCAGTTAAAAAAAGTCAGAGGCATGGAAGGCTCTGCCACTTATAACCATGTGATCATGGGCATGTCTCTTCAGCTCTCTGTACCTTAGTTTCTTTATCTATAAAAGAGAACACAACAAGTTTCTCCAAGAATTGTTATGAAAATGAAATATGATAACAAATACACAATATTCAGAAATTACCTGTTATTTTGTGGGTACTTAATAAGTAGTTCTTGTAATAATTATGTTATTCCAATTCAGTTTCTTCTGCTCTTCCAGATAGATTCGTCATCTCAAAACAACAAAGATACACTGATACATGCTAGGTTTTTAAGAAAATTCTTTCTTTTACACTGAAATTTCCATAGCCTCAACATCTCAATGAACATATATTATATGTGTGTCAATATCTGAATATTTAAATACACTTGTACACTAATATAGTTAAGAATAATAATGAGCATGTATTTTAAATCAATATATAAAAACCTATATACTAAATAGATGTTGCTGCATTTAAAGTACAAGATCACAGGGCTACAATTATTCAAAACAGCTTTGAACTCTCTTCTATACCCAGTATAATAATGAATTTTAAAGCTCCACAAAAATCTATTTTTAATTTTTACTTGCTTTTGACCAAAAATCTAACAAACAAAACACAAAATCAAAAACCTGCCTCATCAGACATTATTCACAAAGACAGCTGTCTGTAAAAATCAAACATAACCCTCAAAAAAATGACTGATAATACAAATAACATTCAAAATAACAGCAAAGTCTCTGAAGACAACCTTAGGAGTTTCCAGTGTTTAAGCAAAGCAGCATTAATGACATAGTGCATAGCCTCCTATGAGATTACTTTGTAAGTTGCCTGTTTGCATAGATAGTTTCTAGGATATTAGTTTAAAAGCAGTCTACCAGCCAGGTGCGGTGGCTCACTCCTGTAATCCTAACACTTTCGGAGGCCAAGGTGGGTGAATCACTTGAGGTCAGGAGTTCAAGACCAGCCTGACCAACATGGTGAAACCCTGTTCTACTAAAAATACAAAAATCAGCTGGCCGTGGTGGCATGTAATCCCACCTACGCGAGAGGCTGAGACAGGAGAATCACTTGAACCCTCAAGGCAGAAGTTGCAGTCAGCCAAGATCGCGCCACTGCACTCCAGCCTGGGTGACAGGGCGATACTCCGTCAAAAAAAAAAAGGTCATGATAGATAAGAAGCTAGCTTTTCTAACTTCTTGGCAACAGTACTTCAATATTCTTTCTTCCTGGCCTCAGTTTTTGTTTTGTTTTGTTTAAATTTTTTTTTTTTTTTAATTTCAAAAGTTTTGGGGGAACAGGTGGTGTTTGGTTGCATAGAAAAGTTCTTTAATGGAGATTTCTGAGATTTTGGTGAACCTATCACCTGAGCAGTATATACTGTACCCAATGTGTAGTCTTTATCCCTCACCCCCCAACCCTTACTCCTGAGTACCCAAAGTCCATTATATTATTCTTATGCATTTGCATTCTAATAGCTTAGCTCCCACTTGTAAGTGAGAACACACAATGTTACTCACTTAGAATAATGGTTACTTCACTTAGAATAACGGTCCCCACTCCATCCAGGTTGCTGTGGATACCACTATTTCATTCCTTTTTATGGCTGAGTAGTATTCCATGGTATATACATACACATCACATTTTCTTTATCCACTTGTTGGTTGATGGACATTTAGGCTGGTTCTTTATTTTTGCAATTGCAAATTGTGCTGAGATAAACATGCATGTGCAAGTGTCTTTTTCGTATAATGACTTATTTCCCTCTAGGTAGATACCCAGTATTGGGATTGCCGGGTCAAATGGTAGTTCTACTTTTAGTTCTTTAAGGAATCTCCACGCTGTTTTCCACAGTGGTTGTACTAGTTTACATTCCCACCAGCAGTGTAAAAGTGTTTCCTTTTCACCACATCCATGCCAACATCTGTTATTTTTTGATTTTTTAATTATGGCCACTTTTGCTGGAGTAAGGTGGTATCTCATCATGGTTTTGGTTTGCATTTATTTACCTGATAATAAGTGATGCTGAGCATTTTTCCATGTTTATTGGCCATTTATATGTCTTCCTTTGGGAAATGTCTATTTATATCCTTTGCTGACTTTTTGATGGGACTGTTTCTTTCTTGATGATTTGTTTGAGTTCCTTGTAGATTCCAGATATTAGTCCTTTGTCAGATGCATAGTTGCAGAATATTTTCTCATACTCTTGGGTTGTCTGTTTACTCTGCTAATTACTTCTTCTGCTGTGCAGAAACTTTTTAGTTTAATTAGGTCCCATCCGTTTATCTTTGTTTTTGTTTTTGTTGCATTTGCTTTTGGGTTCTTGGTCATCAACTCTTTGCCTAAGCCAATGTCTAGTAGAGTTTCTCCAATGTTATCTTCTAGAATTTTTATGGTTTCAGGTCTTATATTTAAGTCTTTGATCTGTCTTGAATGGATTTTTGTATAAGGTGAGAGATAAGGATCCAGCTTCATTCTTCTAAATGTGGCTTGCCAATTATCCTAGCATGATTTTTTGAATAGGGTATCCTTTCTCCACTTTATGTTTCTGTTTATTTTGTTGAAGATCAGTTGGCTGTAAGCATATGGCTTTATTTCTGGGTGTTCTATTCTATTCTATTGGTCTACGTGCCTATTTGGATATCAGTACCATGCTGTTTTGGTAACTATAGCCTTGTAGTACAGTTTGAAGTCAGGTAATGTGATGCCTCTAGATTTGTTCTTTTTGCTTAGTCTTGCTTTGGCTATGCGGGTTCTTTTTTGGTTCTATATGAATTTGAGGATTGTTTTTTCTAGTTCTGTGAAGAATGATGATGGTATTTTGATGGGAACTGCACTGAATTTGTAGCTTACTTTTGGCAGTAAGGTCATTTTCAGAACATTGATTCTACCCATCTGTGAGTATGGGATGTGTTTCCATTGTTTATATTGTTGACGATTCATTTCAGCAGTGTTTTGTTTCCTTGTAGAGGCCTTTCACCACCTTGGTTAGGTAGATTTCCTAAGCATTTTATTTTCTTTGCAGATGTTGTAAAAGAAGTTGAGTTCTCAGCTTGGTCATTGTTGGCATATAGCAGTGCTACTGACTTGTGCACATTGATTTTGAATCCTGAGACATTACTGAATTCATTTATCATATCTTTTTGGAAAAATCTTTAGAGTTTTCTAGGTATATAATCATATCATCAGCAAACAGCGATAGTTTGACTTCCTCTTGGATGCCCTTTATTTCTTTCTCTTGTCTGATTGTTATGGGTCTGATTCACTATGTTGAATAGAAGTGGTGAAAGTGGACATCCTTGTCTTGTTCCAGTTGTCAGGAAGAATGCTTTCAACTTTTCCCCATTCCATATGATGTTGGCTGTGAGTTTGTCATACATGGCTTTTATTACTTTGAGGTATATCCCTTCTATGCTGTCTTTGGTGAGGATTTTAATCATAAAAAAATGCTGTGTTTTGTCAAATGTTTTTTCTGTATCTATTGAAATAATCATATAATTTTTGTTTTTAATTCAGCTTATGTGACGTATCACATTTATTTACTTGCAGTATGTTAAACCATCCCTGCATCCCTGGTATGAAACCCCACTTTATCATGGTGTATTATCATTTTGATATGCCGTTGGATTCGGTTTGCTAGTATTCTGTTGAGAATTTTTGCATCTATGTTCATTACAGATATTGGCCTATGGTTTTCTTTTTTTTGTTATGTCCTTTCCTGGTTTTGGTATTAGGATGATACTGGCTTCATAGAATGATTTAGGGAAGATTCTCTCTATCTTTATCTTTTGGAATGGTTTCAGTAAAATTGGTACCAATTCTTCTTTGAATGCTTGATAAAATTCAGCTGTGAATCCATCTGGTTCTGGACTTTTTTGTTGTTGTTGCCAATTTTTAAATTACTGTTTCAATCTCGCTAGTTGTTATTTTTCTGTTCAGAGTTTCTACTTCTTCCTGATTTAATCTAGGAGGCTTGTATATTTCCAGGAATTTATCCATCTCCTTCAGATTTTCTATTTTGTGCGTGTAAAGGTGTTCATAGTAGGCTTGAATGATCTTTTGTATATCTGTGGTATTGTTTGTAGTATCTCCCATTTTGTTTCTAATTGAGCTTATTTGAATCATCTCTTTTCTTCATTAATCTTATTAATGGTCTATCAATTTTGTTTATCTTTTCAAATAACTGGCTTTTTATTTCATTTTCTTTTGTATTGTTTTGTGTTTCAATTTCATTTAGTTCTGCTCTGATCTTTGTTATTTCTTTTCTTCTGTTGGGTTTGGATTTGGTTTGTTCTTGTTTCTCTACTTCCTTGAGGTCTGACCTTAGATCGTCTATTTGTGCTCTTTCAGAGTTTTTCATGTAGGCATTTAATGCTATGAACTTTCCTCTTAGCACCATTTTTCCTGTGTCCCAGAGGTTTTGATAAGTTGTGTCACTATTATCATTCAGTTCAGATAATTTTTTACTTCCATCTTGTTTTCATTGTTGACCCAAAGATCATTCAGGAGCAGATTCTTTAATTTCCATGTATGTGTATGGTTTTGAGGTTCCTTTTGGAGTTAATTTCCAATTTTATTCCACTGTGGTCTGAGAGGGTACCTGATATAATTTATTTTCTTAAATTTATTGAGACTTACTTTGTGGTCTATCGTATGGTCTATCACGGAGAATGTTTCATGTGGTGATGAAAAGAATGTCTATTTTGCAGTTGTTAGGTATAATGTTCTGCAAATATCTGTTAAGTCCATTTTTTCTAGGGTGTAATTTGTTTCTTTGTTGACATTCCGTCTTGATGACCTGTCAAGTGTTCTCAGTGGAGTACTGAAGTCCCCCCACTATTATTGTGTTGCTGTTTATCTTATTTCTTAGGCCTAGTAATAATTATTTTATAAATTTGGAGGCTCCTATGTTAGGTGCACGTATCTTTACAATTATAATATTTTCCTATTGGTCTGATCCTTTTATGATTGTATAATGTCTGTCTGTGTCTTTTAAACTGTTGTTACTTTAAAGTCTGTTTTGTCTAATATAAGGACAGCTATTCCTGCTTGCTTTTTGTTTCCATTTGCATGGAATATTTTTTTCCACCCTTTACCTCAAGTTTATATGAGTCCTTATGCATTAGGTGAGTCTCTTGAAGACAACAGATACTTGGTTGGTGGAGTTTTATCCATTCTGCCATTCTGTACCTTTGAAGTGGAGTATTCAGGCCATTTGCATTCAATGTTAGTATGGAGATTTGAGGTACTTCATCATACTAGTTGTCACCTGAATACCTTAGATTTTTTTCATTGTGGTATTTTTTATAGGTTCTGTGAGATTTATGCTTTAAGAAGGTTCTATTTTTGTGCATTTTGATATTCTGTTTCAAGATTTAGAACTCCTTTTAGCATTTCTTGTAGTGTTCACTTGGTAGTGAAAAATTCTCTCAGTATTTGTTTGTCTGAAAAACTTTATTTCTTTTTCATTTATGAAGCTTAGTTTTGCTGGATATGAAATTATTGGATGGTAATTATTTTGTTTGAAGAGGCTAAAAATAGGACCCTAGTCCCTTGTGGCTTGTAGGGTTTCTGCTGAGAAATCTGCTATTAATCTGACAGGTTTTCATTTATAGGTTACCTGATGCTTTAGACTCACAGTTCTTAAGATTCTTTCCTTTGTCTTGACTTTGGATAACCTGATGACCGTGTGCTTGGGTGATGATCCTTTTGAGATGAATTTCCCAGATGTTCTTTTAATTTCTTATAATTGGATGTCTAGATCTCTAGTGAGGCCAGGGAAGTTTTCCTCAATTAATCCCTCAGATATATTTTCCAAACTTTTAAATTTATCTTCTTCCTCAGGAATAACAATTATTCTTAAGTTTGACCATTTAACATAATCCCAAATTTCTTGGAGGATTTATGTCTTTAAATTCTTTTTTCTTTGCCTTTGTCTCATTGGGTTAATTCAAAAGCCTTGTCTTCAACGTGTGAAGTTCTTCTTTCTGTTTGATTCTATTGTTGAAATTTCCAGTGCATTTTGTATTTCTCTAAGTCTATCTTTCATTTCCAGAAGTTGTATTTTTTTTTTCGTTATGATATCTATTTCTCTGGAGCATTCTTCATCCATATCCTGTATTTTTTTAAAATTTATTTCAGATGGTTTTCACCTTTCTCTGGTATCTCTTTGAATAGCTTAATAGTCAACCTTCTGAATTCTTCATCTGGCAATTCAGAGATTTCTTCTTGGTTTGGATCCATTGCTAGCAAGCTAGTGTGGTCTTTGGGGGTGTTACAGAACCTAGTTTTGTCATATTATCAGAATTACTTTTCTGATTCCTTCTCATTTGGGTAGACTATGGTAGTGGAAAAATGTGGAACTAGAGTGCTGCTGTTGAGATTCTTTTGCACCATGGGGCAATCCCTTGATATGGTGCACTCCCTTTTGTCCTAGGAATGGGGCTTCCTGAGAGCCAGACTACAGTGATTGTTATCACTCTTCCGGGTCTAGCCACTGAATGGGGCTACCAGACTCTGGGCTGGTGCTGGGGAATGTCTGCAAAGAGTCCTGTGATGCAATCCATACTCCGGTCTCCCAGCCATGGATACCAGCACCTTCTCTGGTAGAGGTGGCAGGGAGTGAAGTAGACTCTGTAATTGGTTGTAGAAGTGTTTAGTGTGCTAGCATTCTCGAATGCTGGTTATAGTAGCAGTGACAGTCACATGGACAAACTCAGGATCACTGGTTAGCCAGGATGTTGCAGGCAGCAGAATTCACTGTTGTCTTCTCTTTCCTTGGAGCGGGGTTGTTGGTTCATGAGTTGCTATAATGTCCTGAGTTGGTTGGCCTCCAGCCAGAAGGTGGCAATTTGGAGACAGCACCAGAGTTTTTTGCCAGTCTCACAGAATTTGCAGCAGCCTGCTGCTGCTTTCAAAGGATTGGTGATTTCTTTCAGTTTTTCTGGTATACTCCTGTGGTGGTTCCTGGAGCAAAAGTCCATGGTGTGAGTCTCCATATGCTGTTCTATTCATCCGAGTGGGAGCTGCAGGTCAGCCCTGTCTCCTATCTGTCATCTTCCCTCTACCTCTAGCCTCAGTTTTTTTTAATAACTGCAATCACCTATCATGTATTTTTGCTTCCTCTTTTCTGTCATTATTGTGGCAAAAACCATTAGCCTTCCTTATGAAAGGAAGATTGAGAGATAGAGAAGGGTCAAATGGGTAATTCAAAATTAAAGATAAAGGCGAGGTAGTAAAGACAGATGGAAGTCTAGTCCCATTTACTTCCAAATAAATACCAGAACTACGGGTAGCATAAAGAGGAAAGGATTTAGACAGGGCACTTCCTAAGATCTAAAGAAGAAAAGAATGAAGAGAACAGTGAAGACAGGAAATACAAAAAGAATCCCACCCCTATTCTGTATCCTGTTGGGTAAATGTAACTCTAGCAGTAGTCTGAGCCTGTTCCAATTCCTACTCTAATTGCACGAGTGGGATAAGTGAGTCTCAGAAATTATGTAAAGGCTGTGGTAGGGGTTTGTTTATGTTTGGGGATGAGCCAGGGTCAGGTAAGGAGACAGGTATACTTTAAAAATATTTTGCATTAAAACACTGTCATAAGTTCCATAGAACTAATATTATGCCTTATGTACATTAAATAAACATAATATCACCATGCATAACCACCATGTAAAAAAAATTCTATGAGAAAACAGATTCTGAATGACAAAACTGATATGCAAATTGGAGGTTGACTGTATTGTCTCTTCAGGATGATGGAATCTATTATGGTTAACAGTTACAAAATATGTGACTCCAGAGTCACATGACTATACTACTAATGGTATACAAATATCTCTCTCTAGAAATCCTCAGGGCCAGTAAAGTTTCAGAAACCATACACACACACACACACACAAACACATTTTAAACATAAAATATATACCATGTATATATTTAATTTTAGAAAGGCTATATAGTACATATACTATATATATGATGCAATAGCCCAGAAGTGACTGAGGCAGCACTTGAGAATCACACGCATCAGCATCTCTGTAGTGAAATATAAGAATAGTCACATATAGGAAATATAAAGTCTATAAACAGTATCATGGAAGTTGAGCTCTGTACTTCCACCAAGAGTTTAGTTCAAGTCAGGTTTTGCTGTGTGAACTACGTATACATTTACGTAAATTTTCTTATAAATAAAACAGTAGATTTTCCCCTCCAGATCTTTTTGCAAATTCACAATTATAGATAAAGGACTATGAACATTTATATCAGTATTTCCATTCTCTCAGTGTCTTTATATGGATGGTTCATGATTACCATTAAAAGAGAAATTTGGGGCTTTCTAACTAGCTCCAAAACTTTTTTTTTTTGAGACGGAGTCTCGCTATGTCGCCCAGGCTGGAGTGCAGTGGCGGGATCTCGGCTCACTGCAAGCTCCGCCTCCCGGGTTCATGCCATTCTCCTGCCTCAGCCTCCCAAGTAGCTGGGACTACAGGCGCCCGCCACTACGCCCGGCTAATTTTTTGTATTTTTAGTAGAGACGGGGTTTCACCGTTTTAGCCGGGATGGTCTCGATCTCCTGACCTCGTGATCCGCCCGCCTTGGCCTCCCAAAGTGCTGGGATTACAGGCGTGAGCCACCGCGCCCGGCCGCTCCAAAACTTTTAAAAGCACTGGAAGTAATTGCTCTGGTGCCCAAGGATTCCTGTAAAAGTTTCAAGAGTCTCAGTAACGGGAAAAGAACAAAATTTCTCTTGTTTTGGATGTTAGAAAATGACATTGTTCAAAATAGGAGGTTTAAATTAGTTTCTAATCTTAAATTAGCAACAATCAACCACAATTACCAGTAACAATAATAATAGTGATGTGGGGAACCTTGCTTTATACGGACTGCCAACAAAACCCACCATTCCTTGTTTCCTCTCACTCAAGCAAAACTCCCTGGACCTGAGCAATGTTGTTCACCTCTGCTCTTGTTTCAGTGGGCATAACCTGCTGTGTTGTTTACACAGACCAACACAAATGTGGCACAGGGGATGCTATTTCTGGGTCAATCTGCATGGGTGTTTCCTTCTCTCTTCTTCCTACTAACCCCTTTGGTGACATTTTCTATCTCAGTAGTTGGAGTCAACTCATTTATGCCTTGATGGAATTGTTTGACTTCAAATTGGACTCCACCTTCTATTGTTTACGAATTAAGAAAAAATGATGGCAACAAGGAAATATTATTAGCCAGAGGTACAGAGTTAGGGAGTGGATTTCTTAAGAATGTGGGCAAATGCCTCAGGATAAAAACCAGCCATCACTAAATGAAAATGACAAAAATATTTTACATGATACCCTGTATTTACATAATGGCTGGTTCCCAAAAATTTCATGGTAATGCACTTTTTAATGTCCAGAAAAGTTTTAAAAAAAGAAAAGCAAAAATCAGCTAAATTTAAATAACCAAAAGTATATGATATTCACATACTGCAGATTAATTACTTAGCCCTAAAAAAAGGCAGAACCTATTAAAGATATTGTGTTGTTTCTGAGGCAAAGATCTCAATTGGCCTAAATTTCCATGGAAAGATTAATGTAACAATGCTGAAAAATCTATATTGAAATAATGACTTGGAAATCAATAAACACTGTACTGAAGTATTTTTAAAACTATATTTTAAAAGGCAGATAATTAGAATAGATATTACCTGAGGTCTGTCAAAATTGTTTTATTTTGTCAATCATAATACAATACCTTTTATATGTCCTTCATGTTAGAATATTTTTAATTCTAGTTGGGCAGAATTACATAATATAATCCTAATGTAAAGATTAAATCTTCTAACTAGACATGTCACAAGGAGTTGGTGGCATCCCCGTAGGAGAACAGAAGCATGGAAAAGGCTAAGTGATCTGCCCAATATTAATGGTGACATAAGATCTTAGTATTTGACTTTAAATGCAATAAGTACTACACAGATCTGTGTTCTACCATGTGAAAGTTCGTCTTGTATTGCAAACAGCAAAACGAGAGACTTTATAAAGCATTTCTACATCAAGTTTTCAATCTTTTTGTGTAAACTACATCTTGAGGAGGAAAAGTCTTCTGGTATTGAAAATGTGAAGGGTACAAAAATACTTTTAAAATCAAGTATGTAAACAAAGAATAAAAATAAAACTATTCAGCCAGGTGCAGTGGCTCATGCCTGTAATCCCAGCACTTTGGGAGGCCGAGGTGGGTGGATCATGAGGTCAGGAGATCGACAGCATTCTCAGCAACATAGTGAAACCCCATCTCTACTAAAAATACAAAAATCAGTCGGGCGTGGTGGCGTGCGCCTGTAGTCCCAGCTACTCAGGAGGCTGAGGCAGGAGAATCACTTGAACCCGAGAGGCAGAGGTTGCAGTGAGCCAAGATCGCGCGACTGCACTACAGCCTGGATGACACAGCAAGACTCCGTCTCAAAAATAAAATAAAATAAAATAAAAATAAATAAAAAATGAAACTATTTGAGTAAGGACAGGGTGTAATATAGGACCTTGATTGCGATCCTCTATTTCTTATTCTTGAATAAAATATGTTAATAGCATAAAGTTAAAATAATATACATATTATATTTTGGATGGACCATGTATATGTCTTTTTATCTTCTCAATTTTTAAAAATTTCATTTTTAACAAAGAAAATATGTTCCTTGGTTTCAGTTAACCAGAGGCTATGATTTAAAATAATAAATAACGCTAAACTGTAATCAATCCTTTCGCAAAAATATTTTCCACTTGATAGTAAATATTTCCTAGTATTTCAAAAGCCATAATCTCATTAATAAGCCAAACCAATTAACCATCTATAAAGTTGCTTTGTGAATGGATTTTATTGATATCCTGATTTTTGCAATGAAGATTCATTAACATTTTATATAGCAGAAATATTGGATGGTTAATAAGCGCAAAAGAAGAACACAGGTTTTAGACATTCAGCTTTTGAATCCTTTTACTAGTGATGAAAACTGGCAAACATGACAACAGAGCTCAGATTCGGGGACCAAACAGACTTGGATTTAAATCCCCTCTCTCACTTAGTATCTGAATGACTTTGGGCAAATGCCAACCTCTTTGGGCCCCAGTTTTGTCACAGGTTTATTGAAGGACTATAGGAGATCATGCCTACCAAGGGCAAGAAAGACAATGAGATGATACCTAATAAATGTTGTTTATAATTATTAATAATACTTTTATAGAGGATAACCTACGTATTTTGTTGGAAACAAACCAGATGATCTTGAATTTGTTCCAAGGCCACCAGCAAAAAGGTAAGATTATTTTACTACTTTCTGAGTTGCAAATAAACAGGAGAGTTCCATAATAAAAAACCCCTTCCTCTGAAATCACATGCAGATTAAGTCACGGAGGTATAATTGAGTTGTAGATGTGTGAGCCTACTGTTTTATTCCTCAAGTGGACAGTAAACTCTGTAAGGGCTAGGACCATGTTTGTTTCTTTTACCACTTATTCCAACATTTAGCAGAGCTCTGGTACATGGTAGTGACTCAGTAAATATCTGATGAATAACTGAAAAAGTGAATGAATATGCTAATGCCAATCAGAGAAGAAATAGAAGGACAAAAAGGTGAATAATAGAAAATATGACCATCTAAGATGATGAATAATCCAGACTGAGATGCTGGTAGTACTGGGCAAATGGCATAGACCTGAAGAGTTCAGAGAACCTGTTACAGTCAAAAGGAATAAAGATACTTGAAAGAAGCTTGACAGAGAAGGATAAGTGCTCTGGAAAAGGGAAGACACCACAGAAGACACTGAATAAATGAAAAGAATTGAAAAACTCAGGGTTCAGATAAAAGATGCTGTTGTATAAGCATTCAAAAGGTCTTGTAGAGAGCAGTTTCAGCCTAAAATTGTGGAAAGGTGTGGGGTTTGTGAAAAGAAATTTTGCTTTCTCATAATCTAAAGGATTCATGAGAAATGCCTCTGGTTTTGCATATGAAGTGCGAAGTATTTCCTCAAAGAGGAATAAGTATGGAAGAAAACAGCAACCAAAAAGAATGATGCTACAGAATGGAAGCAGAATGATTCAGAAGAGCCTAAAAATGAATTATATAGACTCATGCGGAAGTGAATAAAAGGAAATAATAAGTGTATTAGCTATGGGCAAGATTACTTACCTATGAAATAAATGCAATCACTCTCAAGATGAGTAGTTACTGCTCTTTTATATGATTCTGTATTCTAAGATACCTGGAATTTCTCCCACAAAACCATAAGTTACAGTGCAGTAGGTACTATGTAGAATAAGAATGGGGAAGGAACAAAGAAAGGTAGACCCGTTCATCTTAAGCATGCACAGAGCCATCCAGGAAGCCTTCTGAGTGGGTGGCACCATGGGTTCTGCGGCAACACAGGGTCCATTTGAAAAAAAGGAGACCAGAACTTACAATATGCTCCTCTTACCTCTCTTCCCTATCTACTGTACTCTTATTCCTTATTACAGTCAGGGTGATATGAGTGATGGGATGTAACTCCTTACCACGGCTGGTATTGCTTGGCCCCAAGGTGCTATATTCTTTCTCAGCTAGTTCAAGGTATCCTTAATCCTTGTAAAAAGTTTAATATTTCTCTAGTATTGTAGTCGAAACCAGGAGAGATGGTGAGAGAACATAAGCAATTTATACTGGAAATATCTGTGCATATACAATTAGGAGTTAATTGCATTATCTCCCTCATCTGTTATTTATTCATTCATTCAACAAATACCATTAAGCTCCTACTTTCTCCCAGAAACTGTTCTAAATGCTAAAGATATAACAATTTTAAAAGACAGTCAAGAACCCTACCTTTGTACTTTATTCAAACTGTTGGAGGGAATGAAGAAGTTTGGAGGAGACAATAAACAAGTTAACATTTATTTAGACCCTTTTACATTAAAATTTATTGGACATTAATTTTGAAGATTGCCTAGCACCCTGACACTCTGAGCTGTGAGCTGGTTCTTATGCTGAAATATACTCTATAGAAAATATAGTCTTTTGGGTACATGAAATATCCTTATATTTAATATAAGTGCCGTTGAAACATTTTCCATAATTAGAAGCAGCAAATGGTTTTCCGTATTTAATCTTAGCTTCCTATATTGCATTTTGTTAAAACGTATTTATTCTTCTCATCATAAAAGTACAACCATATTACAGAAAAATCAGAATCTAGAAGAAAAAAGGCTCTTATCTTAGCACCTTAATACAATCACTCAGAATTTCCATACATTTGCTTCTAATACTTTTTAAATGTTTAAACCATTGCATATTTACATAGCTGCTATCATAATATATAATAATTTCAAATACCTTTGACCTAGGTTGTATGTTATGTATTTTTCACTACTTCATAATTTTATTTCCTTTTAAATTTAGTAGATTCACAAATCAGCAAAACAGCAAGATGTGTATTCATCTTTCCCCCAGGCCATCTAAAAACTTTAAGAATGGAAATAAAATGTCTATTTAAACCTAACTAGTCTTTAAATTAGGGTCCAATACTAAAAGATTTAAGCCTAAACAATGCTAGTTTCAAAAGTGGATGCCAGATTTTTTTTAAAAAAAGCATTATTATATATAGAGCAAAAAGTTGTTTTCATATTATCATGAATATGTACTTCAAATTTGCTGTTGAATAAAATTAATAAACTCTGCTTTTCTTACAATTTAATATTCCTAGATCATTTTTTGAAGTTACTTGGAAACTAGCTATCTATAGGAGATGTGTCTGAAACTAAATATGAAATATAATGAATTTCCATATACACTAATTTTATTGAAGGATTATGATTTTAATACATTGAGACAGAAATGCTTCCATTGTACCAAAACTGACTCAAACATTCAGTACATGAATGCCTGCCTGCTGTAATTGAGGGAAAGATTAACCTGCTGCCCCTATTTCCATGCCTTCCAACATCACCTTCACCTTAATCCTAAACTTCCTTTGCACAATAAGACCAAGGGTTTTCTATTGTTCTTGTTTGTTTCGATTTTGTTTTGTTTTAATAATTCCAGAAGAGTCACTATTTTATTCAATGTCTTTACCTGATAGAGATAAATTAGAATCTATTAACATCATGACAACACACTTTATTAAATTAACTAGCCTTGAGGTTCTGGACTTTATGGAAAATGGGTAAAAGCAAGTTTTTGTTGTTGTTGTTGTTGTTGTTGTTGTTGTTGTTGTTGTTGTTGTTTTAGACAGAGTCTCCCTCTGTCGCCTAGGCTGGAGTGCAATGGTGCGATCTCAGCTCACTGCAACCTCCGCCTCCCGGGGTTAAGCTATTCTACTACCTCAGCCTCTAGAGTAGCTGGGATTACAGGTGTGCACCACCATGCCTGGCTAATTTTGGTATATTTAGTAGAGACGGGGTTTCACCATGTTGGTCAGGCTGGTCTCAAACTCCTGACCTTGTGATCCACCCGCCTAGGCCTCCCAAAGTGCTGGGATTACAGATGTGAGCCACCGCACTAGGCCAAAAGCAAGTTTTAAGAGAGGAGAGTAGACACAAGTAGAAGTGGGATGGAGATGCAGTGGACTGGCAGAGACTGCCTCTCTAACTTGAGAATTTCAGGCACATATAGATGGTGTATTTTCTCTATATGCTCACTAGCCAAGAAGATTATATGAAGCTTCACTTTCTCTAGTTTGTATTATCAAAACTGACTATGATTCTATAACTATAACAATATCCTCATCGATTGAGCTTGCTGCCAATACTACTATCATCCTGTAAAACATTTGAAAACCATTGCTTAAGGCTGGATGAGGCTAGACCAAACACACAAAGTCAGTCATTTTGAAATTGGAAGATAGAAGCAAACTATTCACAATTCTGCTGAGATCCCAGGTCAGCATTTTATGAATTAGCACTGGCTTAGGTGGCAATGAATAACTTTAGACACTTCACCACTTAAATTTTGTTTTTAAAACTGTAATGTTTTTGACCTGGAAATACATTTCAGTGGACAGTCAAAATAAAGACAGGGAAGCTATAAAGCTATGCATCAAGAAGATCACTACCATAGGGAGATGAGTGAACAATATTAAACATTTTCCTATAAGCATGTCTTAAAAGTTGGGTATGGGGTCATTTGTTCCAGTCTGTAGCACTTGTCTCCATGAACAATGGGGCAATTAATAAAATAATTAACACACTTGTTCTTTTACAATATTAAATTTTCCAACATAAAGTCAGGATTA
This sequence comes from Homo sapiens, assembly GCF_000001405.40. Classification (NCBI taxonomy): domain Eukaryota; kingdom Metazoa; phylum Chordata; class Mammalia; order Primates; family Hominidae; genus Homo; species Homo sapiens. The sequence goes on along the minus strand of NC_000002.12, from coordinate 148,078,850 downwards.
TTGGCTAATCCAAATTACTTTATGGCTATGATATCCAGTTACATGAAGTTACATTTGCAATTATCATTAACCAAAAGAAGCCCACAATTACCAACAAAAACACTTTATTTGTAATGTAGATATCAGCTCTGAAAGAGTCAAAGAATATATGTTAGATGTTCCAATGGATAATATATACTTACGCTATTTTAGCTACTGTAGAAAGAGCAGTCAGTCATACGACCTTGTTATATAATGGTACATTTGCAGGGACTATGTGGTCGAGCAGTTCATTTTATGGAAATTAACAATAAAATGACTATACAAGGAAAAGGAGATTTTAAATGATAATCTCAGAATTACATATGGTAACAGTCAATAGCCAGGAGAAGTGGACTGTATGTAATCCATAGTAAGCACTGGCATATCTTGTGTGTATCTGGTAGTCTCCAAACAAATAGAAGACTGGTAAAATACTTTGTCAATCTGACATACAAGTAAATGATCACCCACTGGATACATAGGACATCTAGTATATAAGCTCAGAATCTGGTTAGAGTTACTGGAGTCACAGACCTGAGCCAGGGCTGTCATTTTTGACTGTCATAATCAGCCAAAAAACTAGAAAGAACCTTAGGAATCACTTGGAAAAATACACTTGTTCACTGTTAAGGAAATTGATTCTAATCCTTATAAGAGTTCAGAATGATGGTTAAGGATACAAGCTCTGAAGCAACAGATCTGAAAGAGGAGTTTTCCCAAAAATATAAAAATCTAGTTCCTATAAGCAACTCAACGGCATAGGAAATGTCCTTTACCAAGGCCATCTAGAATTCTACAAACTGTTGCTGAACAGGTGTTTTTGGCATTGACATTCTACATTCCACATAACAGAACCCCTTACACCTTAAGTAGATCCTAAAGTTGGTGTGGAATTTAGCAGACTTCTTTAATCTATCGAGTCTCCCAACTCTATCATAAATTGAGCTCTGATGGTCAATATGAGAGTATATTATGTATTAAGTTCAAGGCATCATTTCCTTCCTGTTGTTCACCCTACCCTCATGCTATAAAAGTCACATCTTTTGCAGATTTTTCCTCAAAAACTGCTTTAGAACAATCCAGACTTGTTTTATACAATCCCACTCCTCTCAGTCTGAATCAAAATACCCTCCTCCTCTATTATGAATTTGAGTACCATGAGTGATTCTTACACGTCCTTAGGTATTATCAACAAGTGCTTCATATGGAGCAGGACACTATATATTGTTTTTACATTCTATACACTTTGAACCACAGTCTCTTACTCCGTTTAAAATTATCCTCAATAGAGTTACCCAGTCCATAGTAGAGAAGATAAAAATCTACTTCTATGTACTTCCATTCTCTGACTTTGATTTCTAAAACTAAGGAAGCAGGTATCCTCTTGGTTGCTATAATTCCTGTTCCAAAACAAGTCATTACTTAATATCTGCATAAAGACATTTAAGAGTCTGGCCATCTCACAGCTACCTAACTATGCAACAAATCAAATAGTCACCTATGCCTACAATGCCCAGTAACAAGACAACTCAAGATGCCAATAAAATTGCCATTCCAAAGACACAGGAAAAGATTTATATTTCCATGAAATAAAGTATCAGATTAAACAAAAGGCACACTATTAAGAGATATGTGGAGCTTACAAGACAATTCTGTGACTTTTGACAATGGGCTAGAGAGCAGTTAGTTTGAAGAGCTTCAAATTTAAGTACAGTTATTATAGAACAGATGTCAGCAAACTTTTTTCTGTGCAGGATTAGACAGTAAATATTTCAGGCTGTGGGCAGGCCACTTAACAGTCTCTGTTGCATAGTCCCCTTCATTCATTTCTTTTCCTGACCCTTTAAAAATGTGAAAGACATTCTTAGCTTATGGGACACACAAAAACAAGCTGCAGGGCAGATGTGGCCTGTAGGCAATAGTTTGCCAATCTCCAATATAAAATTACTTGTGGTTTGCCTCTACTAGACTATGAGAACTTAGAGAAGAGGGATGGATGCGTTTTATTCACTTCAATGTTCCCACTGTCTAGTACAGTAACTTGTACATAGCAGTTACTTAATAAATATTTGATGAATAACTGAGTAAATGAATAAATGAGTGAACAGATTTATCAGAAGCTAGTAATAGAATTATCACTTAACCTATTATTACAATGATAACCTCTGTTAGTTATCTGTACTGCTCACCAATAGCTGGTCTTTCTCTCACTGGCACCTAGAAGACTAACTTCACAGCTTCCTTGTGATTGAATGTGTGACTTCTAAGCTGGAACATTTAATTGCAGATGTCAGACCTCTGAGGCCTCTTTTTTTGTCTTTCTTTCCAGCATGATGAAAGAAATGATTGAAATGGTGGCTGCTACACAAAGTCCCTAAGTGACTATTACAAAAAGAGATGCTGCTGACCATGATGGACATGCAAGGAGAGCAAGAAATAAACCTTTGTTGTTTTTAAACCACTGAGGTTTTGTGGTTATTTCTCATTACTTCATAATATAGCCCATCTTGACTGATATACTACCAATCATTATTGCTTCTTCAGGCTACATGGAGCCTTTTTTAAAACCAATATTGGGCTGTAGTACAAAGCAGAAAGACAGAAACATCTTTATCACTCTGCAAAAGAAAACAACAACAACAACAACAAAAAACGACGACTTTGAGTTTTCAAATTAGTTCCTATTGGTAAAGTAGGAAAAATCTCTAAACATTTAATTTTTGTGATATGTTTTCTTTAACTAGCATTGGATAATCAGGATACTACTACTTTCTAAGGCCATGATTTTAGGGCAAATTAAGAAAATAACTATACAGACGTTATTTACAATAGAATAAGTTGGCCAATTACTAGTGGCTCCTGATTTCTTGCAAACTAATTATTTTGATCATTAATACATTTATGTGGGCACTGAATAAAAAACTGGATACGATTCCAAGCTGTGGAATTTTAATTATATTTAAGCCCATACTGAGAATAGATCTTACTGGTATATTTAACTCTTGCAATATAAATTATTACTTTTTAAAATCACTACAGTTACAGAAACTGTACTTATAAAAGTCTAATCAATTATTAATCCTGAGTGAGACGCCTATAGATTCAGAAACACTTAAGAATACATTAACCAATTGCAACATATGGATCTTATTTAGATCCTGATTCAAACAAACAACTGTTAAAAAAAAAAAAAGACCCACAAGAAGTCACTTATAATACAATCAGAAAAATCTGAAAACTGACTGGTGCAATGCTCATAGCTAAGGAGTATTTCTAATTTTTTAGAAGTGTGATAATGTAGTAATTTTAAAATTGAGTCCTTATCTTTTAGATATACAGACAGAAATATTTACGGATGAAAAAAGTTTTAATAACTTGATGCTATGACTTCTTTAGGAAAACTATTTCCATTTCTCTTAGCCCAGGCTAATGCCTGATGTAAGATGGGCCACAGGATGGAAATGAGGCAAGGAAAAAGAGATATGGTGGCAGGGTTCTAGACCCTCATTCTGGTTTCAAACAGTAAATACGTTTTTACCTTTGCCTCTGATTATCAAAAAACAAAGAAATAAAACTGACTGAATATTTAAGTCTCAGTTTCTCCCTTACAGCCCTGTCATCTTTGGCCACACTCTGACATGTAGACCCCTCTTCCACAGTCATGTACAGTCTTCCTTAGTTGCCTTATTCTATTCTGGGCTGCTTCTTCCCTGAGCCATCTTTCCAATAATCTCTTCCCACAAAGCTTTTCTACTGCATCTCTATTACTGCTGCTATATTTCATAATTAACAATTGACAATCCCGTATGCCTCATGTCTTCAAAAATGCTTTTTGACACCTCTGTCTTAACAGAAACCCAGAGGATGCTTTTCTCTGGTGGTCCTCTCTAGAGGAGGTCTTTATTCTCCAAGACCCTCGAATAATACTATAACAGAGTTTGGAGGAAAGAGAAGAACAGCATTCCTCTAGCCACATATGATCATTTCCAAATCATTACTGCCACATCCTCATGTAAAATTCTATTCCTGGCTGGGTGTGGTGGCTCACGCCTGTAATCCCAGCACTTTGGGAGGCCGAGGTGGGTGGATCACAAGGTCAGGAATTCAAGACCAGCCTGGCCAAGATGGTGAAACCCCGTCTCTACTAAAAATACAAAAATTAGCTGGGCGCAATGGCAGGCTCCTTGTAATCCCAGCTATTTAAGAGGCTGAGGCAGGAGAACTGCTTGAACCCGGGGAGGGCAGAGGTTGCAGTGAGCCGAGATGGCGACACTGCACTCCAGCCTGGGCGACAGAGCAAGACTCCATCTCAAAAAAAAAAACAAAAAAAAAAACAAAAAAAAAACAAACTATTCCTTTGAAGGTACTAGTTTCCGGTTATATCCAAAACTCTTTCTAAAAGGAAATAGTATAACCTATAAAACTGTTAAACCAGAATGCTCACATTAGACTTTGTTTTTACCTCATCAATATTTATTGGAAGTCCAATGAACACCAAGCTAAATATGATAGAGTTTTACAAAGGAAAGAGAAAGAATCCAAAGGAATTACAAATAAGATACAAACAAATTACAAATGTAGAAGGTCCTTTTAACACTTAGAGTGTTGCTGAAGGTAAGCAGACTAAGCAGTATAATTGCTGCTTCATAGAAGTCAAAGCACCAAAATTGATAGGGAAAGGAAGAAACACTTAACTGAGAGAAGTGGAGGAGAAATTAGTTTGAGCAGTGATTTACTTATTGTTTACAAAATACAAAAGTTTTATTGATATCTTTATATTAGAAAAATTCTAAATATTCACTGATAAAAAAAATCTTAAAAGAAAAAAAAAAGATTATCTGGTATCCTATAAGCCCAAAATAACCAGGGGCAACAATTTTATGTAAACAGTATCAAGCTATACATGATATGCTGTTTTACCTGTTGATTTATAAAAAATGCACATTTCTATACCAGCCACATAGTAGTTATGGCATATGGCACAGTAGTTAGTAACACTTGCTATAGAATCAGACTGCCTAGGTCCATAACTTGGCATTTCTTTATAGCTGTGTGACCTTGGGTGATTTATTTTTCTCAATCTCAAGTAAATCATCTTTAAAATAGGGATAACAATAGTACCTCTCTCATGGGGTTGTTGTGTAGATACAATGAGACATTCCATGGTCATTTCCTAGAATAGTGTCTAGCACATTAAGTGTATGTGCTTGATAAATATTAATAACTTTTACTTGTATGTATGTAGAAGTCATTTTTAATGGTTATACAGTATGCCATTATAAGAATGTACCATATATAGTTAAATAATCCCCTACTGATAGACATTTAAGTTGTTTCCACTGAGGCAAAGCTTTTAAATGTAAGAGCAAGGAAGGAAGAGTGATAAAATCATTTATACAGTTTTGATCCATGAAAAACTATGACACTGACTTTTAACATCAACTTCAAAACCACCCCTTATATTAATATCCCCACCGCATAACTCCAAGAGTTTAATTTGTACATCAGGAGAAAATGTTTATTGGGCTGTGTGATTGCCTATACCTGCTACCCCCTACCCCAAATGATAAATCTAGAATTAAGACAATGGTGAGCATTTTCTCTTCTACATTGACTTCATCACCACAGTAGGGGTCTTAAGCTGATCTATCTCCTTGGCATACAGTAATAGAAAAACATCACAGCGAGAAACTCACACTTCTAAGAAGTGCAAGTTATTTAGATTAAATCAGTACAAAAAAACCTGAAATATTTCTATCTAAGGATTCTCAGCCAGTTCTATGGTGGTGGGGTGGGGTGGAGGGTGCCTAAGGCCTTGGGAATAACCCACCAGCTGTCTATCACTTCATCTCCTATATCATTTTTTGTTAAAAAGCTAAACTTTAGAGCTGGATATAGGTACTCCAGAACATTAACAAAATACAACCAGAAATCTGTATTTCTCAACCAAATCACTGTGGTTTAGAAAGCTTATTGGAAAGATTCATAAACATTTACCACTGTTGAAAAGAAATATTACCCCCAGTCAGATCCAATTGATCTAGCCTTCCTAGGACATGAAAATTTGGAAAAAAACTTTTTAGTTAATAACTAAATCTGATGTATTCATAACACAGCAGCCTCTTACAGAAACTAAGGATCTCATTATCAGGGGCAATCAAGTGTCACTTTATTCAGTTTTCATGCAACAATTAATTCACATGTGCCTAAAGAACTGAAGAGGCACGTCGTATTAAATCTAAAATCATTCAATTTACCGCTGAATCAAACCTTTGGTTGGTATATATGTTCTATTCCCAGAAAAAAAATTCTAAGCTTAAATAATTCACAAAAGGATCTACTACTTTTGTTTACACTATATAACTTATATACATAGAGAATTTGTTTTTAGATACAAAGCAAACCATGATGATGATTTCTATAATAGAAGTCTTACCTATAAATACTAAAGTCTACATTTCGGCCCATACATTTTAAATATGTTATCCTACTGGATGGCATTGTGTCAGATGTTATAATTTAGTAAATTTATTTTAAACTAAATGATGATTCATTTTTACTATGCAGATTTCAGGTAACTACATAAGTTTGTGTAGTCTAATTACCCAAAGGTATTTTTCACTTGAATTTCAAGTCTCAAGCCAGTATATCTATGACGATAAGTGCTATTATTATATTGAATAGTATGAGCAGGGTAGAACCTATCTTCAAATTAGAATACTGAATTCTCTAGGTGAATAAACACTAGTATACAAAGGCTAAAACAAGAAGTACAGATACGTATATTTAGCTATGATTTCCTCTAGAGGATGAAAATGTCTGAACATGCAAGACTTTTTTAAATGTACTGTCCAATAAGCTTTTAACATTTTCTTCACATGATCTTTCAAATTTAGGATTATGATTCACAATGAACATTTTTTAAAAACTAAACTTAATGATTACAAAACCTAGAGCATTCTTATTCTTATGTTCTCATGTGAAGTTAAATTCTTATTCTATTTTCAACTTAAAAAGAGAGATAGCCAACGTAGCATCCTCTATGAAATATTTGTAGGACAAAAGCAATGGGCTTTGTTTTTCAAAAGTTTAGACACAGAACGCATTCTAAAGACAGAGGGAAGCCGGAGAAAACTTAAGAGGATAAACGTAATGCTGAATTATCACAGAGCAAATATCTTTTCTTTTAATGATCTGGATTCTACAACAGGTAAAAACATATTGAGCATATCTGTTAGCTACAATATCATAAAGCACTGAGAGATCTTATGTAAGTTCCAAAGTCTATAATTTAATGACTGCGTAATCCTGCACAAGTTGCTTCCTCTCTCTAGAAGTCACTTTTCTCATCTCAAAAATGGGGATAAAAATAGTAGTTATTTCACTAGATTATTAGAAGGATTAAATGAGAATATAAAGTGACTTACCACAATACCTGCCTCAATAATTGTGGCTTCCTGCTAAATATTCACACATTTACATATACATAAACCCATATCTACACATACACACACACACACACACACACACACACACACACACACACACACACATATACAGATATATCTAAACACAGAGAGAAAGAAAAAGGCCCGTATTAGTGATTTTTGACTTTGAACAAAATGATTCTTAATATTTTAATATATGTCTGTTATTTTGTTAAATCTTGGTATAATTTGGCCGGGTGTGGTGGCTCACACCTGTAATTCCGGCACTTTCGGAGGCCGAGGCAGGTGGATCATCTGAGGCCAGGAGTTCGAAACCAGCCTGGCCAACATGGTGAAACTCTGTCTCTACTAAAAATACAAAAATTATCTGGGCATGGTGGTGGGCGCCTGTAATCCCAGCTACTCGGGAGGCTGAGGCAGGAGGATTGCTTGAACCCAGAAGGCAGAGGCTGCAGTGAGCTGAGATTGTGCCACTGCACTCTAGCCTGGTGACAAGAGCGAGACTCCATCTAAAAAAAAAAAAACAAAAAACTTGGTATAATGCTTAATTTATGGTATTATTATAGTTAATTTTTACACTTCCATTTTAAATAGACTGTTGTGTAAATAAAATAGTATTAAGATCCTGTTTAATGTTATTTCTGCATTTTCAACTTTCACACTAGAGAAGTTGCCAGGCTTTTCTATAATTCTAAAAACCTAAAATGTGCCAGGTAGTATCAGAATGGCATGAAGTTTAACAAAGCAATGAACCAAGGATTTCCAACATATACCTTTGGACAAAACAGTGAAATATAAACTGGAGATATGGCCCTCAGAGTTTTATACCCTCTATCCTACCAATTTCTCTATTAAGTAATCTTGGTACCACCATGATAAAAACAAAATGGTCATTTTGCCTGAGAATTTTTTAAACTTATTTTTATAGTGGCTCTCTTAATGATTTATGTTTTAACAATGGTTGTAATATTTTTGGAAAAAATAGTAGGGATTAGCTCTCTGCCCTACTAGTAGCAAACATGCTACCAATATCAAATCACTAAATGTCTACTATCACATAGCACCAATGATAAAATACTACTTGGCATAAAAAAGAATGAAATCCTGTCATTTGCAGCAACATGGATAGAACTGGAGGTTATTATGTTAAGTGAAGTAAGCCAGGAACAGAAAGAGAAACATGACATGCTCTCAGTCATATGTGGGAGCTAAAAAAGTTGACCTCATGGAGGTAGAGAGTAGAATGATAGTAACCAGAGGCTAAGTAGGCTGTTTGTGGTGGGGGAATGGAGAGGATGAAGAGAGGCTGGTAAATGGGCCTTAACATACAGCTGGATAGAAGGAATACATTCCAATGTCCACAGCCGAACAGGGTGACTACAGTTAACAACAATTATTGCATATTTCAAAATAGCTTGAAGAGAGGACTTGAAATGTTCCCCACACATTGACATGATAACTACTCAAGATGATGGCTAAACTGAATACCCTGACTTAATCATTACACTGTCTATGTATGTAAAAAAATACCACTTGTAACCCATAAAAAGGTACAAATATTGTGTATCACTTTAAAAAATTAAAAAAGAATCACCAATGGCTTAACAATCTTGCTTCTCAAAGTAGAGTGCTATGCCAATGTAAAGAGAGGTGTTCAGGGAGAGTCCACCTTTGTCCTTTGCTTTTACTCAGTATTTTAATTAATTAATTAATTAATTAAGACATTAAAAAGGTCAGGGAAAAGTGGTTTAACAGCGGCTTGTATAGACAAAAACTGCCTGCTCTAGTTCCCCACAAACTCCTTATTACCCAGCATTGTGACATAGCTTCTAAATACAGTAGCATACTATAAGATGATATTTAATATAAATGTTAAATCTAGAAAAAAGCAATAGCTGTATGATCATTTATTGTGAGCTGTTGAAGAGAGATTCCTATCATTAAAAAAAAACTATGAATGCCAACAATAGTGGATTGATCAAATAAATTATGATACTTCCATTTAGTTTCTATTCTGTATTTTAAAACAATGTTGATGAATATGTATTGACATAAAAATAAATTCAAGATGGATCAAGTGAAAAAAAGATTCACAACAGTATGCACATTTTGATCCCATTACAAAAATAATATAAATAAACACATCCCTCCTCTGTCTTACTTGCTCCCCCTCACCTTTCTCTCCATTTATACACACAGAGTAACAAAAGGTTTGGAATGCAAAACATGCTTGCTAACACTGGGTATCTCTGAGTAAGGGAATCAGATATTCTGAATTTTTTTTCTCATGTATCCATACATTTTAATTTTCCAAAAGAGAAGACACATTGTTTCTGTAACACAGACAAAAATTTAAATGAATGAATCCTGTACTACTAGAAAAACTGGTTTTAGTCTAAGTGTTTTTCAATTATTAAAAAACTGTGATATTTTCTCTCACCTATTGGTTATAATGCATTACTTAAAATTATAATCAAGGACTGAATAGCTTCCTTATAAATGACCTTAAAGGTCCAATCTTAAACAAAAGAATCAAATTATTAGTAAAATTAGAAGAATCTTATCAACATGATACAGAGAACAATAATATAGTGAAGAGTGAAATAATGTATCCACTAAGTGCTAATTAGTTACAATTATCACCAGTCACCTCCTGACTTCTTAAGATAGTCTCTAAAACATAAAAACAGAAAAAAGGAACCTATCAATACATGATCAGGAGAATATTTGATGAATGCACAAATACTGTAGTGTACAGCCACACCAGACTTTTTGCCACAGAAGTTACCTGCTGGAAGTATTCCTTCAACAATCCTGTGTGACAAGAGCTCTTAGATTCAGAACATATGGGTACTATGACACAGAGACAGCATCACTGTGAAATAACCAATCAAAAATCTTTGCTTCCATTCTTTCATTACATTTCTCTCTCAGTAAGATCCAAGAAACAAAAGGTAGTCAGATCTTCAATGCCCACTAAGAGGTCTCCTTAGGTTCAACTGAATGTGCAAATTCACGGGACAACCATAGGCCATCCTGAGCACCTGTCCACCCAGAATATTACAGGACAAGAACTAATGCATGTGAGTAGGGCAGAATCAGGTATTCCTCTTCTGCAGGAGTCTCTGCAGGTTCCATGTAGTGGTTCACATAGCTATCTAGGAGCTTTTTTTTCCTGGCCTCTTAGATCGCAGCTTAGGTACAACTTGAGATTTACATCAAGCAGGTGAGGGAGCTGCACTGACCTAGAGGCTTCATGCCCCACCAGAGCCAATATTTCTTGTAACAACTCAATGGCCACAGCTGCCAGAATCAAGGGACATGTCCACTTATAAGTCACCACATACAGAGAGACCCAAAGATATGGCTTCCTGCCAGGTGTTTGTAGTGCTACCAGTTCAGATGAAGCTTACCAATTAGGGGTTATTTCTACCATAAGCAATGTTGTCTATTAACACAGTTGACATACTACCCTTATCAGATTACCAAGGAAACAGAGCTAGAGTTAAAAGAAGGTCAAATTCTCATGCTGAAGGAAAAGAGTTTGTTAAAACTTTTGCCCACACAGGGCAATATACTTTCTTATAGCACTGGTTAAGAGTTGAGGTAAGAATGACCATTCAGTTACTATGAGATGTTAGAAGCCAGCTTAGGGGATGGGGCTGAGGGTAGGGTGAGAATAGGAGGCTGGGGATAATGTAAGACAAGGGAAATGAATCGAAGAAAATTTTCTTGTAACTCTGAACAACATCTTATTTCTACTTGCTTTAATTCTAGGTAGCAGTTTAATAAAAATAGATCTAAATGTATTGTTTTTATTTTGTAAGCAAGTAGAGTGAGGTCCTAGACTATTTTATTTAAATAATTCATCTAGAATGAATCTATAAAATACAGATTTACCTCTTCAGCTTTAGAGGTATCAGAACTTAAGAAAATTTTATGTCTTGGCAAATAAAATGTTTACTAAAATCTTAAAGTTTTGTTTAGCTTGCTCTATGTCTAACGATAATTTGTAAAGAAAATCAATTATGACAAAAATATCGTAGTTATTATTGTCACTAACAATTGCTGAGTGGCTGTTAATTGGAGTTCAAAATGGTTCTTTGATGTAGACACATTTAAAGATCATAGACATTTCAATGTCTAATATAGCGTGTGGTTCAGAGTGGGTGTTCAATAGAACTGCTGAATTGATGAACATTCAGAGACTGTACTTTTGCATTCTATTTTGCACAGCTATTACCTACATAACCAAAACTTTTATCAACATCAATTAGTGTTTCTTAGCATTAACCAGAATGGACATAGCTAACCTTAAATCTACACTCAGTTCAACAAATACTTACTGAATATCTCTATGTGCCATGCTCTGTGGTAGGTACTGGGAACATCACTTTTGCTTTCCAGGTGTTCTCTCAAAATTCTAATACAATGACAGAGAGTACAAAATTGGGTGGGTGCACTAAAGAATGAGAAAAGAAGTCTTTCTGACAGGATGTCTAGGCCAAGTCTTAAGTTAGAATGAGACAAACGCAGGTAAATGAAGTACATTCTGCATTGAAGAAAGAGCTTGAGCAAAGGTGCTGAGGTGAAAAAAACATGGTAGCTGGGCACAGTGGCTCTTGCCTATAATCCCAGCACTTTGGGAGGCCAAGGCAGGTGGATTGCCTGAGCTCAGGAGTTCAAGACCAGGCTAGGCAACACAGTGAAAATCCATCTCTGTTAAAATACAAAAAATTAGCCGGGCATGGTGGCGTGCACCTATACTCCCAGCTATTCAGGAGGCTGAGACAGGAAAAACTGGGAGGTGGAGGTTGCAGTGAGCTGAGATTATGCCATTGCACTCCAGCCTGGGTGACACAGCGAGACTCTGTCTCAACAAAAAAAAAAAAAAAAGAAAAAAATGGTATATGCGGTAGATCTAAATATAGTTTAGTACTGCTGAAGAAAACACTAAATACTATAGTGAGGAAGTAAGAAAAAATGAGGCTTCATCAGGAGATAAATATAAAATATTTACCTAGTAAAACAATGGTATACATTTATTATTGATTGATTGACTGACTGACTGAGACAGGGTCTTGCTTTGTCACCCAGGCTGGATTTGGAGTGTAGTGGTGTGATCTCAGCTCACTACAACCTCCGCCTCCTGGGCTCAAGGGATCCTCCCACCTCAGCCTTCCAAGTAGCTGCGATGACAGGCGCACAACACCATGCTCGGCTCATTTTTTTAAAAAAAATTTTTGGAGACATGAAGTCTCACTATAATATTGCCCAGGCTTGTCTTGATCCTCCTCCCTTTGCCTCCTTAAGTGCTGGGATTACAGGTGGAAACCACCGTGCCTGGCCCAACAATGGCATTTAAAATTAATGCTTATAAATCTACCCAGTGAAAATAAAGCTAGAAATGTCCCTTGTCTCCTCCTCAACCCGAAACCTTAAAATAGCATAAGCTTAATTTTGGAACATACAAATTACAGATATGTCTTATTAACTACACATCAACTAAATGCTGAGTTCATCTTTTTAGCTTTGTTTTGTATATATTCCAGGCAATGAACATAAATAATCTTCCTATCTTTAAGAAAGTTCACATAAGGCTCAGAGTTTAAGTGTTTCCTACTGAAAAGTCTATAATTCACAGAATATCAAACTTCAGCATTTTATTTTGTGATGTTCCTATTCCCTACTTTCCATGTCATCTATGGTTTACCTGATAGGCAGTCATTAACTTCAACACATTCAACTTTGAAGCAACTCATATGATCTTTCATTAAACTATGATATCCTATATTAATTTCCTTTTCTGAGTTTGATTTTTTTGACATATTTTGTTGAATGATGATTTCAAATGCTCATAATACTGCCTCTGAGCTGTTACTGTTAAAGGAAATAGTCTGGTTTCCGCCACACAACAGAGCATGCTCACAAGCTAGGAGAACACAGAAGCATCTCACAAACTCATGGGTTTGCTCTCTTAACTGAACCTATGGTTCACACAGGTCTACTGGTCCAGCCTCCTCCAATCTTAAAGCTGTTCTCACAAAACGTTCCTCCCCCTCCTACCTTAACAACGCTGGAAAATACCAGGCTATTTGAAGACAGGAGAGGCTCATCACAAAGACTGAAAAAAGATCTGCTAGGTCCCTCTTGATACATGGTCCAGAGGAAAGCAGAAATGGTCTGCCTTTCCCTGAGTACTACCCAAGCAGGTTGGGCTTACATATTTAAGACTGTGGATAAAGTCGGCAGCTATCAAACCCCTAATCTTCCTTTTAGAAAGTGGTAATTCTAAATTTATTATCTCCGGATGCTGGCTGTGCAACTCCATCTCTATCAGACTCCAAAGCAGGGAAGAATCTCCCCTGACTACTGGTGTATGGGGCCTGAAAGAAGTAGGACACAAGCAGGAACCATAATTTTAGGAAGTGACTGTAATACATAATTTCAGCTCTCAGGTATGTTATCAGAAATACATTAATATAAAAGTAGTGGGCTATATATAAGAAAGAACGGTCAAGATTGTAATTATTCTGTTTTTCATACATCAATTACTAAAGAAATAAAAGAAGGAAAGAAGAAAGGTAAGGAAGAAAGTAAGAAACAATGAAGGGGAAGAAAATGAGCCAATATAAAGCCTCCAATTATTTTTCAGGAAGTTATCTTAAAGTTATTGCTCCTTTAATTTGTTTGTGTCTTGAGTAAGAGAAGATTGATTTCAGGTGTAAGGACTGATGGGCCCTAGGCAAAATAATTAATAGCTGGGAATAGGCAGGGTTGGGGCTGGGAGAATCGGTTTGCCTCAAAGAAAGGTATCTAGCAGCCAAATTAGAGTATTCAAGGGGTTATGAAGAAGAATATAGCTTTGATCCAGGCTACTACCAGTTTCTAGATAATCTCATCTGGTAGAAGGCACACTATGGAAAGAATCTTTGTGTAGTGGCGGTACTTAAAGACAGCTGGTGGGGGCCGGGCGCGGTGGCTCACGCCTGTGGTCCCAGCACTTTGGGAGGCCGAGGCGAGGGGATCACGAGGTCAGGAGATCGAGACCATCCTGGCTAACACGGAGAAACCCCGTCTCTACTAAAAATACAAAAAATTAGCCGGGCGTGGTGGCGGGCACCTGTGGTCCCAGCTACTAGGCGGGAGAATGGCGTGAACCCGGGAGGCGGAGCTTGCAGTGAGCTGAGATCGCGCCACTGCACTCCAGCCTGGGCGACAGAGCGAGGCTCTGTCTCAAAAAAAAAAAAAAAGAAAAAAGACAGCTGGTGGGAATAGTATGTTTCCTTTAGATTCACCCTATATATGAAAGAGCAAGAGCATAAAGACTCCCTGCTTGGGTGTAAGAAGCTATAGTCCCACCAGAACCCAGGAGAAACAAGTTTGCTAGTATTAGACATATTATCAATCTTCAATCTGAGCAAACAGGGTGGCAATGGTAGGAGAAAACTAGAGCTTGTTGGCACTTATGGACTCAATATAGGCACGTGATTACTGGACTAAAAAGACAGATTAATCCCCATCCAAGAATAGGATTATTAAATACCTTGGCTCAGGAACAGGTTGGGCAGAGTCCACAGGTCAAAGGGCTTAGATATTGGAAAATAAGAAAACAGCAATATTATAACTGGTATATTAACAGGCTTTTCAGGACGTGTAAATTGTACAGTGGTGGGAAAGGCCACCAATAGAGAGGCCATTAAGATCTCCACTTAAAAAAATAAATAAGTGAGCCCTTGTTCACATAGGCAGTGTCATCCAAAATATGTGTAGCACAGGAGTCAGCAAACTAAGACCTGCTGCCTGTTTTTGTATTAAAAAAAAAAAAGTTTTCTTGGAAAATAGCAATGCTCATTCATTTATGTATTGTCAATGGCTGCTTTTGCACTAAAAAAGCAGAGTTGAGCCAGGTTCCTAAGGCCTAAATATTTACTATCTGGCCTTTTACAGAAAAAGTGTGCTGACACTTGCATTAGAGTAACACAATCTGGAAAGAACCCTAACGATCCCCAACTTCTATCCCTGCCATTTATTTTATTTCAATTTCTTGCATCAATTAAAATTTGGATGTTTTTCAAAAGCAAATTATACTAAAATGAAGACAATAAATGAGTAAAGATCCTGAAATCACAGGAAAGACAAATTCAAAACTAATGACTTAAATTGTGATGAAGCTGCATTGGTACTCAACCCACCCACAACTCCTAAAGGAAATTATAAAAGTAACATGTACCTCAACTTTATTGAAAAACATTTGTAGTTTTTCTTTATTAATTAGTACGCAAGAGGAGATATCATTATTAGCAATGTTTTTATTTGAATACTAAAACATAAAGTGGTTAAGTGAACTGTTTAACAAACTGGGTCATAGATCTCAAGGAATCCGCAAATATGTGCTGAGAAATTTTGACATTCTCCAAGATAATTTGTAATTATTTTTCGTCTTGGTTGTACTTTATTGTGTTAATGAGGATGGTGGTTATAGCTATGTAAGAAATATAAGTGACTGCATTTATATTTGGTTAATACCACTATATGCATTTAAGAAACTTTCTAGAAAAAGAGTGTGATTTTTTTCTTACTTTTAGAGTTGTAAATACAACAGTAAAACCTGAGAAATCCATAAAACAGTATGTTGGCAAAGAAAAGAGAAATAACATCCAAAGAATCATACCACCATGGTTAATGAAACTCAGGAGTGATTTTATGATTCAAATACTATTAATTATTAAAACTTCCTAAACCAAAGTTCAAACAAGATATTTAATCACCTGTAACAGTAATCACACATATGCCAAAAAAAATTCAGAAAACATTGTTTACTTGAAGTTAAAACAAAATGACTTTAGCAAATTTTTTACATTACACTGAGCTTGTAGAATATAAACAGTTAAGTGTTTATCATGCTTAAGTTGTCAAATACATAAAATTACACACATTTTAAAAGCAGGTTATGCAACTTCATTTATACTATTATTATACATTATTATACTATTACAAACTTTATACATTTATTAATTTACATTTTGAGTAAAGACTATAACTGTTTTGAAAGTAGAAACCTTGTAGTTTTTTACTTTTTACAAATTAAGATTCTAGGGATTACTGTCAAACTTTAGTATGTTGCAGCTTTCCTCTGACAGAAAAAAAAAGCTAAAATGATACATGTATATACATACATGTATGTATATCCATATGGTTACATCTATTCATCTTAAGGTTAAGATGGCAACAAAAAGAGAATTAGTTGAGCAATTCTATAATAATTCTGCTTTCAATCTAATATGTAAACAAAATGGGAAAATATTTTCAGACATCATGACAATGCAATGTTACTATGCATACTATAAAATACATCCTTACATATTTATGAATAAAAAAGTAAGCCCTCTATAGATGTAAAGAAAAGGTACATGAATATATATTTTACTCAAACAAAAGGAAATAAAAACGGAAAAAAAAAACCCATGGGAAATATTTAAAATCCTGAGGACCTGAAAAAATTAAAGATTTTAAAGAGGAGAAAATCTAAAGCTTTCTAAAGATACAGTCTAGATATTGTGATATACTGCCAGCTAGGATATATAAATCAACTTCACTTTTCTTAAAAATTATGTTTATGATATGAATCAATAGCTTTAAAAGTTTTCATAGACTGATTCAAGAATTTCATTTTCAAGAATTCTAGTCTTTGGAAATAGAGATGTTGACAAAGTATTACACACACAGATGACACACACACACACACTCACTGCTGTAATATAATAATGAAATACTGTAAACAACCTAAGGCCCAACATTAAGGGAATGGCTAATTATGATGTACACATATAAAGGAATATTACATTTGACAATTTTTAATAATATGAAAACATATTTATGATATGGTAGATTTCCCTTTTTCAATGAGTAAGAAAAACTAGATGCACAATATGATGTCAATTATGTAGAGGGAAAGAGTTGGGGGAAGGGTAGAGGAAAGACAAATGTGCCAAACTCTTCTAATTTTAAATATTTCCTAGATTTGCTAAAGTAAGCATAAAGTGGACTTAAAAAGAGAAACACTAAAAGAAAAAAAGAAATGGCCACTGAGCGACTGATCATTTGAATGCTATTACCAATTACTGATAATTACAATAATCTTACCTATCAGTGAGACTTAACATCACGAACAGCAAAGCAGGGTTATGATACAGGGGAAGAACACTTTGTAAAGGAATAACGATCAAAATAAAATCCTCTTTGATTATAAACTCAAAAAAATAAAAAATCAGTAATAATTATTAGTATTTGATTTTTAAATACCTTGGCAAAATTAAACCGCAAAAACTATTTCAAAAAATGAGTCATTCTGGGATTGGGAAAACTTTTTACAATGGAGAAGAAAATGTATGAGAAAGAATATGAAGAATAAAACAAGAGATAAATAGCATCAGCACCAGAATTAGTCCTATCTAACTTTTTAACAATCTTACTGGAAACATATAGAGCCTCTTTGGTTAGCCAATGAACAGATAGTGAAATGGTCAGGCAATGAGATAAACAGCAGAATTATCTCTAATTCTGAAATATCTCTGTGAAGAATGGTAAAAATCATAGATATGATTTGACTAAAGTAAGGCATTTAGGGAGAAATGGCAAAAATATATTTATAGAACAAAATAATCATACCCTATCAATCACTATAAAAAAAGGAAACTTGAAAGTAATTGCTTTTTCCAATTCTCCTGTGAAGTCTTCTGTTTAATTCTGTAACAAAATTCTGGGCATTCTTAAGAATACTAAAAACAAGTAAATATCTTTCAAGTTTAAAAATGTCACTATATTTTGGAATATGTGAGAACAGTCCATGCCTCAGTTAAGTCCTGAAATAATCAGTTTACAGTGTATGCAACATGCAAGCAGACAAATACAATTAACCTTCACTATTGTGGTAAGGAAACATGGTGAAAATTTATCAAGTGTCACAAGAATGTATGATAAAATTTGTTCTTTTTTTTTTTACAAAACATACAATTAAAAGATATATAAAGTATGCCTCTCCAGTGAGACTTTTCTTTTCCTTTTTCTTTGAGACAGGGTCTCACTCTGTCATCCAGGCTGGAGTGCAATGGGTGTGTTCAAAGCTCATCGCAGCCTTGACCTCACAGGTTCAAGCAATCCTCCCACCATGGCCTCCCAAATATCTGGGACTATAGGCCTGCACCACCATGCCTGGCTTTTTTTTTTTTTTTTTTTTTTTTTTTTTTGCACTTTTTGTAGAGACAGGGTTTCACTATGTTGCCCACGGTGCTCGCGAAGTATATATACTCAAGCCATCCACCTGCTTCGGCCTCCTAAAATGCTGGGATTACAGGCATAAGCCACCGTGCCTGCCTCCAGTGAGACATTTTTAAGGGGTGGCTCCATGCATTTGAAGCTTCCAAACACCCAACAGAATCTCACCAGTCACCAATAACCAAGATCCTCTCTGATCCTGTGCTAGAGAAATCCTTAAAGGAACTAGAAGAATTTCCTTTGTCTTTTTTTTTTTTTTGAGACGGAGTCTCGCTCTGTCTCCCAGGCTGGGGTGCAGTGGCGCGATCTTGGCTCACTGCAAGCTCCGCCTCCCGGGTTCACGCCATTCTCCTGCCTCAGCCTCCCAAGTAGCTGGGACTACAGGTGCCCGCCACACGCCCGGCTAATTTTTTGTATTTTTAGTAGAGACGGGGTTTCTCCGTGTTAGCCAGGATGGTCTCGATCTCCTGACCTCGTGATCCGCCCGCCTCGGCCTCCCAAAGTGCTGGGATTACAGGCATGAACCACCGCGCCCGGCCTCCTTCGACATTTCTTAATTGAAAAGTAATTTTTAAGTGTATTTACATTCAGATTATCAAATAACATTTTAATTATGCTAGTATATTTACATAGCTAACAGTAAATTTCCAATAAACTAATGCATTAAGGTAAAATTGTTTTACTGTATGCAAACTTAACAGTAACGGTAACCGCAATAGGACAGGAAAATTCTTTACGGGTTACCAGTACAAAATTACCAAGTGTGTATATTTATTGTATGTGTAGAAACTAAATAGAAAACTTTTTTTTTTAATTGTCAGAACCGGCTTTCACACATTTGAAAATATTTTCATATTAAAAAAGCCATTGCCAACTCTTCAGTTAAATATTTATAAATGATGTTAGACTATCTGCAAATTACAGAAATAGATACATGACTTTTAATATAAGCAAATATCACAATAAACAATTTATACAAAGTTCTTGTCAGTGTTCTTCATCTAGAAGTCTTTGTTCTGTTGTTACCTCTAAAATATCAGCAACATCACAAAGGTACACATTCAAGTAAGTAGTTATTGTAAAAAAAACTATGTGCAAGCTTTTCATTGATTTACTCACTTATCCATCAAATACACTTCATAAAACACTTTCATTGTGTTCCAATGACAATTTACAAATTCAGATAGCCAAAAGAAGTTCTGACCAAGCTCATATAAGGCCACTATGTTCTTCTGGAATGCCATGTTTAATACGCAAAAAAATGCATTCTGGCAGGAAGTGTTTAAATTAGTAATTCAAGCATACTTTTTGCTTAACAGACATTTTTGAAGCAAATCTTTTAAAGTCAGACAGAATTAAATAATAAAATCTATTTGAGGAAACTTCAAGCATTTTTTCTGTCCTACATAGTAGTTAGCAATAATGGAAAAATATGTTAGGAGATAGAATCAAACTTTATAACACTTTGCTCAATTATTTTTAATGAAGTCATTAAAGAGAAATGACAGTGGAGAATATTAAGTAGTAAACAACTAAGAGCCTCAGAAAATCTCTTTTTAAAAAAAAAGCATTTGCAATGCAAATAAATAAAAGCCATCTGGAAAGCCAAAAAAAAATTCACCTATTAGGGCATGTTAAGCCACCCATGGTCTAAACTTCCTTCTTAATAAAATCGCAAATACTGAAAAAAGACCGATAGAAAAAAAATTTAAGTATAAAGCGATGAGATAGGTTTGAATTCTGGCTCTTCCCACTTACTAGCTAAGGAATATTGAACAATTAATTTAACATTTCAGTACTGGATTCACTATCTGGAAAAGATGGACATTACTTAATTTGTAGGGTTTCTGTGAGTATCCAAGAAATAGTACCAGGGGAAAGTATTCATCAAAAGTTTAAATGCTACAGAAATGTAATACGTATTATAAGAAGAAAGTAAGGGCAAGGGGAAATACAAAGAAAATGCAGACCCCAAATGAAGTAAAGGGTAGGGAGGTGAGAAATTTTGAAAAACAGCACTATAAAAACAGTATTCATTGCGATGTTTAAAGTATTGAAATGTACAGGGTAAAAAACATCATTCTTGATGTAATGTATTCTGGAATAAACTATGAATCACATTGAAGATTTTAATATCTGTTCTTTAAAATCAATAAACTTGAACCAGATTTACACTAGTGCTTATTGCATGACCCAGAAAACAAAAGCAAACAAATTACAAAGCAGCAATAAAACAACAACAACTCAGTAAGTTTTTAGAATCTAACTTTATTTTTTTTAACTAAGAAAAGAATTTTGTGGACATGCTCTTCATGCAGCTGCTAAACTTTAAGATCTCAGATTCAAAGGAAGAAACCTAAGTAATGAGAGTACTGCAAATTCATTTGGTTAAATTACAAACCCTAAAGCATATTGTTGTGGGATTTTCTAGCACATTGAATTTAAAATTGGAAAAAATTTATTCTAGTATTGCAGTATGGGTTTCTAAGAATTATAATCTTTCTACTAATTAAGTAACAAGGTCTTCATACAGTCCACATTCCATGACCACAATGCCATTAAATGTACATAGAAATCAATAATAAAAAAAGATATCCTCACAGGCTTGGGGCAAAAACACTTCTAAAAAACTCAGGAGTCACTGAAAAAAAAATCACAATAGAAATTAGAAGACACTTACTAAAAAAAACAAAAACCTTATATAACAAAGCCTGTGAAATATAGCTAAAGCAGTACTTAAAGGATAATTAATGGCCGTAAGTACTTAAAGTTTAAAAAGATAAAAGGCTGAAAATTAATGAGAAAGTATATAAATTTAAAAGTTAAAAGTCAGCAGAATACATAATGAATAAAGCAAAATTAAAATGTAGAAGGCAGAAAAGACAGTTACAAAAATAAATGGAATAGTAAATAGCACACAATAGAAAATAACAGTAATACAAAAAACTGGTTCCTTTTCAAAAAGATTAATAAAATTGCTAATCTTATTACAGGGTTATTCGAGAACAAGAGAAGCATAAATAAAAATATTAAATATTTAAAATGAAACAACAAATAATGCATACATTAAACAAATAAGAGAATATTAAGAACTTTATGTCAATGAATGTGAAAACACAGATGACTTAGATGAATTCGTAGAAAAATACAATGTATTATCTAAAGAATAAACTGAGACTCTAAATAATCCTTTGACAACTAAAAAAAAAATTACATCAAAAGTTAAAAATGCTCTCACACACACAAAAAGCAACCTTAATAGGTTATAGATGAATTTCACTATGCATTCAAGAAACACAATTCTAATCTTATACAAAACTTCCAGAGAATAGAAAAAACGTATGGACTCATTTTTTAAAAAGGGCAATTACAGGCCAATCTCACTTCCTAAACAGAAATGCAAAATGCCAAAACTAAACATCTGTAAACTAATCCAGAAAGTATAAAAAAGATAACATGACAAAGTCTGTTTTGGTTAAATTTAGGAAATCATATAAATATAATTCACTGCATTAACAGATTAAAAGAGAAAAAACTATACAGTTATCATCTCAATAAACACATTTAATATAACTCAATATTTGTGCGTGATATAAACTTTTATACAAAAATTTGAGCTGTCTAAATATAATAAAAGGCATCCACAAGAAAAAAAGAGTAATAATTAAAGGTAACACCTGGAACGTATTCCTTTTATGACTGGCAACATTACAAGAAAATGCTCATTATCAGCACTGTAGATTCTAGCCCACAAAAAGCAAAAGAAGAAATAAAAGGCATAAGGTTTGGAAAAGAACAAACAAAAGCATTATTATTTGCTGAGAATGATCATCTCTTTTAAAAATACCCAAGAATCCACAAATATGTTATCAGATTTAAAAAGAATGTTTAGTAAGCTTTCTAAACAAATATATAAAAAAATGTACAAAAGACAACTGCATTTCTTTATATAAGCAAGAGGTAGAAAATGAATTTTAAAGTACCAAGACTACACATAAGAAAGTTACAGGGAAGATTTCAAAACTTTGAGAGACGTTAAAGTAGAGTAAAATATAAGGAGAGGTATTCCATGGTCTTGGACATAAAATTAAATTATAATAATTAGATCAATTCCATCAAAATCCCCACAAGATTTCTTATAGAACATGCCAAACTGATTATGAAATTTCTAACAGAGTACTATGTGACATGTCTTACATTATCAACTACCAAGACTTATCTAAACTTACAGCAATTAAGGGAAGATTCAGAACTACTTCACCAATGCAACACAATAGTGAGTTCAGAAGCTGACCCATACACATATGGAAATACAATTATAAGACCAAGGAGACACTGAAAATCAATGGTAAAGAAAAACCTATTCAATAAACGGCCAAGCGCGGTGGCACACGACTGTAATCCCAGCACTTTGGAAGGCCGAGGCGGGCGGGTCATGAGGTCTGGAGATCGAGACCATCCTGGATAACACAGTGAAACCCCATCTCTACTAAAAATACAAAAAATTAGCCGAGCGTGGTGGCACGCGCATGTAGTCCCAGTTACTCAGAAGGCTGAGGCAGGAGAATCGCTTGAACCCGGGAGGCGGAGGTTGCAGGGAGCGATGGCACCACTGCACTCCTGCACTCCAGCCTGGAAGACAGAGCAAGACTCTGTCTCAAAATAAAAAAAGAAAAAAAAAAAAAAGAAAAACCTATTCAATAAGCAGTGAAGGGATTGTTAATCAAAGAAGGCAAAAATAATTAGATCCTTATCCCAAACCCTGAACGGAAATTTAATCAAGGTGCAGATGGGTATAAAGACCTAAATGTGAAAGATAAAGCTTTAAAACTTAAACAGACAAAAAAGAATTCTAGGAGACCTTAAACACAATACACGCACACACACATACAAAAATAAGAAAATTTCTACTAAGTTAAAATTAACTATTTCTATTTATCAAAGACAACACAAATCACAAATTTGGAGAAGACATTAGCAACACACTTAAGAAGCAGATCAGTATCAGAACATAAAAAGAATCCCTATGAATCTAAAGTAGAATCATGAATGCATTATATACATATAAAAATATATTTATCTCATTAGCAATTGGGGAACTGTAAATTAAAATTATAAGATGCCATTTCACATCCATCACCTGGCAAAATTTAAATCTAAAATGAGGGACACAAAAGCCAGGGACAGAGAAACAGCAAAACAATGGAAACTCTCATACTCTGATGGTGGGAATATAATATTGACACAATAATTTTGGAAAACGTAGTGAATTTATCCAATAAAGTTGAACATAAGCATACACTGTGATCTTGCAATTCCACCTAAACATACCCAAGGGTAGTGTTTCTCAAAGTATTCACTGTGAGCAAACTCTTGTTTTTCTTTCTTTCTAATCTTTTGCTAATTAATACTTATGTAAAATACAATGAAAATGAATTACTAAATTCTAAAATACTAAATTTCTAAAATGACTGTAAAAGTGATCATGTACTTGGATGTTGCAGCAACGTGAAGTTGCCATAAAATGTTCTAAAAAGTCTCCATATTTGTACTTATTTTGTTGCAGACCAGTGACAGCTTACGGATCACCACTGTGATTCATGGGACACATTTTAGAAAGTATTGTTCTAGAGCAGTGTTATCCAAAGAACTTACTGTGATAAAAGAAATGTTCTATATCTGCGTTGTCCTCTATGTCCACTGTCATATGTGGGCTGTTAAGCACAAATAAAAGAGATAAATAACTAACTTTTAAAATTTCATTTAAATCAAATAAAATTTAAATGTAAGTCGTGATGTATGGCTAGTGGCTACTGTTGTAGTAGTGTAGCCTCAGAGTAATTCTTGAACATATGAACTAAGAGAATTTATACATAATCAAAGAAGTTCATTGGATCACGCTGGGCACAGTGGCTCATGTCTGTAATCCCAGCACTTTGGGAGGCCATGGCAGGAGGATCGCCTTGAGCTTAGGAGTTTGAGACCAGCCTGAGCAACATAGGGAGGCCTTGTCTCTACAAAAACTAAAAATAAGCCAGGTGTAGTGGCGCCCACCTGTAGTCCCAGCTACTCAGCAGGCTGAGGTGGGAGAATCACTTGAGCCCAGGAGGTCGAGGTTGCAGTGAGCTGTGATTGTGCCACTGCACTCTGGCCAGGATGACAAAGCAAAACCCTGTCATAGAAAAAAAAAAAAAGAAAAAAAGAAAGAAAGATAAAATGATACAAAGAAAAAAAGAGAAAAGAAAAAAACTTCATTGGATCAGTATTCCTAACAGCAAATAAATAAACTTGAAATAACTCAAATACCCATCACTAGTAGGATGGATAAATAAATTATAATACATTTAAATAGAATGCTTCAAATCAATGAACATGAGCAAACTATAAGTACACACACCAACACCAACATATGTATGAATCTCAAATAATATAATACTGGGTGAAATAAGCCAGAGAATGCATATGGTGTAAGTTCCTTTGTATAAATTTTATAACCAGGCCAAACTAAATATACTGTTAAAGATAAATAGACTATATAACTATTTTTTAAAAAGCAAGAGATGATTAAACCCAAAATTCACATTAGTAGTTACCTCTGGGAGGAGTCAAGCAGATAGGATAAGAGAGCAACACAGAATAATAAAATGTTTATATTCTCATTATTATGGTATTACAGGTTCATAGATATTTATTTTATTATTAAGCTTCAAAATTTACCATGTTGTGTATTTTATTTTGTATTAAATATTAGGCAATAAAAAACTTTAAATGTAAATGCTAAAGTATTTTGTAAAAACAGTGCTACTGAGACACAGCTGTCATGAAAGAAAAGTGCATCATATAATGAAAAACGGGTCAATTCAATAAGAAGATATAACAGTTATCAACATATGTGCACCTAACAATACAGCCCCAAGATACATAAAGCAAAAACTCACAGAATTGCAGGAGAAATAGACAGTTCAACAATAACAGTTGGCATCTTCAACACTACACTTTTGATAATGAACATACAAATCTAAATAGAAGATGAGCAAGAAAAAAGAAGGCTTGAACAATCCTAGAAACTAATAGACATCTATAGGAGACTCCACCCCAAGTAGAATACACATTGTCTCTCTCTTTTTTTTTTTTTTTTTTTTGAGACGAACTCTTGGGTCTGTCGCCCAGGTTGGAGTGCAGTAATGTGATATTGGCTCATT
Source organism: Homo sapiens (assembly GCF_000001405.40). Classification (NCBI taxonomy): domain Eukaryota; kingdom Metazoa; phylum Chordata; class Mammalia; order Primates; family Hominidae; genus Homo; species Homo sapiens. The sequence continues at coordinate 148,052,902 of NC_000002.12, read as the reverse complement.
GCAACTTCTGCCTCCTGGACTCAAGTGACAGAATACACATTCTTCTAAAGTAAATACACAGCATTTTCCAGGATAAGTCACATGTTTATGGCATAGAAAACAAACACCGATATATTTTTTAAAGTTTGAAACCAAACAAAGTGGGTTTATCAGACTGTATGGAATGAAATGAGAATTTAATAGAAGGAAATTTGGAAAATTCATGAATATGTGGAAATTCAACAACATACTCCTAAATAATCAATAGGTCAAAGAACAAATCAGAAGGAAAGTTAGATATACTTTGAGATAAATTAAGACGAAAACATAACATATGAAAACTTATAGTATGCAGAAAAAGCAGTGCTAAGAGGGAAATTTATAGCTGTAAATGCCCACAATAAAAAAGATCTCTGCTGGGCATGGTGTCTCAGGCCTGTAACACCAGCACTTTGGGAGGCCAAGGCAGGTGGATCACCTGAGATCGAGAGTTCGAGACCAGCCTGACCAACACAGAGAAACCCCATCTCTACTGAAAATACACAATTAGCTGGGTGTGGTGTCACATGCCTGTAATCCCAGCAACTCAGGAGGCTGAGGCAGGGGAATTGCTTGAACCTGGGAGGCAGAGGTTGCAGTGAGCCAAGATTGCACCATTGCACTCCAGCCTGGGCTACAAGAGTGAGACTCCATCTCAAAAAAAAAAAAAAAAAAAAACTCAATAACAGTCTTATACCATAAGAAAATAAACATTACAACAGAGATAACAAAACTGAGGCTAGAACAAAAGAGAAAAATAAACCCACAAAAGCAAAAGTTTGTTCTTTAAAATAATCAACAAAATTTACAAACCTTTAGCTAGACTACCCAAGAAAAAAAAGAGAGAAGGGTAAAATTAGGAATGATAACAAGAATGTCACTACTGACCTTATAGAAATAAAAAGCCCAGGACTAGATGGCTTCACTGGCGAATTCTACCATTCAAGAAAAATTAATGTCAGTCCTTATCAAGCTCTTTAAAAAAACAGAAGAGGAAAGAATACTCCTTAACTCATACTGTAAGACCAGCATATCTTGACACAAAAGCCAAAGAAATCCCAAGAAAACTATAGATCAATAGCTCTTATAAATATAAATTCAAGAATACTCAACAAAATACTATAAAATTTAATCTAGAAGAATTATTATATCATAATTGTGATTATATTAAACCATATGATCATCTCAACAAATGCAGAAAAAGCATATGACAAAATATAACATCCTTTCATGACAACACACACACACACACACACACACACACACACACACACACACACTCAACAAACAGAACAGAAGGAAATTTCCTCAGCCTGACAGAACATCTGTGAAAACCTCAAAACTAACATAATGGTAAGACAGTAAAAGCTTTCCCCTAAGTAATCAGGAACAAGAAAAGGATGTCTGCTCACACCTCTTCTATTCAATATTGTACTAAGCATTCCAGCCAGGGAAACTGGGCGAAAAAAAAAAAAGAAAAACAGAAATGAAAAGACATCCAGATTAGAAGTAAAACTATTTCTATTTGCAGATGACATAATCTTATGTATAAAAAACCCGGAAGAATCCACTAAAATATTTTAGAGCTAATAAGGTCTGCAAAAATGCAGAATACAAAATTAATATGCAAAAAGCAGTTGTATTTCTAAAAACTAGCAATGAACAAACCAAAAATGAAATTAAGAAAACAATTCTGTTTACAATAGCATTAAATGGAATAAAATACTTAAGAATAAATTTAGCCAAGAAGTGTAAGACTTGTCCACTGAAAACTACAAAACACTGTTTAAAAAATTAAAGGAAATGTACAGAAATGAAAAGACATACTGTTCATGGACTGGAAGAGTTACTACTGTTAAGATGGCAATAATTCCCAAACTGATCCACAGACTCAATACAATCTCCTACTAAAATTTCAACAGTCTATTTTTCATTTTCAGAAAGGGACAAGCTGATTTTAAAATTCATATGAAAATATAAGGAACCCTGAATAGCTAAAACAATCTTAGAAAAATCAAGAAACAAAAAAACTATAGTAAGGAAACACACTTCTTGATTTCAAAACTTACTACACAAAGCTACAGTAATCAAAACAGTGTAGTATTGATATAAGGAGAGACGTACAGACCAACAGGATATTACTGAAAGCCTGAAATACACCCACATGTCTTTGATTAACAGATTTTTGACAGGAGTGCTAGGGCAATTCAATGGGGGGATATAGTCTCTTCAAGATATAATGTAAATTTTCATAACCTTGGAATAGGCAATAATCTATTAAATTAACACCAAAAGTTAAAGTAACAAAAGAAAAAAATTATTGAGACAAAATTTTTGTGGATCAAATGACATTATAGAGAGTGAAAAGACAGCACACAGAATGGGAGAAAATATTGCAATCATATATGATAAGGGTCTAGTATCCAAAATGTATAAAGAACTCTTACAATTCAATAATAAAAAGATAATGAAAAGGCAAACACGAAAAAGTGGAAAAGGATTTGAATAATCATTTCTCTAAAATGGAAAAGGATTTGAATAAACATTTCTCTAAAGAAGGTATGCAAATGGCTAATAAGCACATGAAAACATTTGGAACATCGTTAGCCATCAGTAAAGGCAAATCAAAACCAAATGAGATAAAATTTCAACCTCACTTGATGGCTGTAACAAAAAAGACACAACAAGTGTTGGTAAGGAAGCTGAGAAACTGGAACCCTCGTATGCTAATGAAAATGGTGCAGCTACTTTGAAAAACAGTTTGGTAGTTCCTTGGATGTTAAACATAGAGTCACCATGAGACCCAGCAATTACATTCCTAGGAATGTGTTAAAATATATGTTAACACAAAAACTTGTACACAAATGTTTACAGCAGCATTATCCATAACCAAAAAGTGAAAGCAACCCAGATGTCCATCACCAAATACTGATGAATGGATAAACAAAATGTGGTACATCCTCATATGAAAAATTACTTAGCCATAAAGGAGATTGAAGTACTGATGCACATTAGCATATGAATGAAACCTTATTCAAGTGAAAGAAGCCAGACACAAAAGGCCACATATTATATAAATTCATTTATATGAAATGTCCAGAATAAGCAAATCTATATAGTTAGAAAGTAGACTAGAAGTTGCCAGACGATATGGGAAGGAGGGAGGTACTTGGAAGTTACTGCTAACAGGTATAGGGTTTCTTTTCAGGGAGATAGAAATATTCTGGAATTAGATTTGGTGATGGCTCCACAAAAATGTGAATATGCTGAAAACCAAGGAATTGCATGCTCTAAAATGATTTAAATTGTAAATTTCATGCTATGTGGATTTTACCTCAATAAAAAATGAAAGCCACCCTTCTCCCCCACAGAAAGCAAGTACTACAGTACTAGGTAAACAGTAATTACTCAACAAATTTCAGTTATTTTTCCTGTTTGCTTTCTTGTTCAAAAGATATTGCCATAGTCCTAACTAGCTAGAAATACAGCTGGAGTGCAAAACCACAGCATAACAATTATTCTATGGCTAGCTCCCACTGACAGATTTCCATAAATTTCTAGTGCTATCCAAATTCCTCCCTTGGTTCAAAGCAAAGTGAAGAATGGATGGTGCACGAAATCCACTTGCCACAAGATTTCTAGCTTCTAAAGAGCTAAGGTGATGTCCAGTTTCTGGGTACAATCACTGGGCAGCTGAGAACCAGTGAATACACAGGTTGATGCCACTGTCTAGTCAAGCTACAGTCCAGTCAATCCATCACATGTTACCAGAAACTCCCAGCAACCACAGGAAAATGCTTCTTTTTTACCATTTCCCACAATGTGGTCAATATGACTCTTGCTGGCACCACTTCTCAGACACTAACATCACTAATGAAATTCTATTTCTTTGCTCCTCCTGCCTCACCCTTTGAGCACTGCAGTACTTTCTGGGAGTACACAAGAATTCATGTAAGAAGAGTGGACTAGACTATTCCAACATCCCAGGATGAGACAGGGCAATTTTTCACAGAGAGGCTTATCTCATACCCACCCTAGGAAATTTATTCACTTCTTTTCTCAAGGGAGCAAAGTAGTAACTTTAGGCCTTCTGGGGGACTTTTCAACCACAGAGTTTCCCCTGAGTACATTCAGTCCTCTGTTTTCTACTCCATTCTTTTCTCTTTTAGTGGTTTTCTTATCATTTGTCTTTTACTGAACAAGTCATGTTACCTTGACCCTCCTTTTGAATATGTTCTTCCTCATTCCTGGAAAGCCTTACTCTTCTCTACTCTCCAACTCCAAAACAGCAAACTGCTCTTCATTCTTCAGGTCAGTGCTCCCTGAAGAAGACTTTGCTAATGTCCAAAAATAGATTTGGCGGCTTCTTTTCTCAGTTCTTATTTTCTCACAAAACTCTCCACTAAAGCATTTGCCAGGTTGTATTATTATTGTTGATTTTCAACATAGGTATGTGCATATCCTCACTAAACTATAAATTCTTCAAAGGCAGATGTTGTGTTTACTCATCTTCATAATTCCAGCACCTAATAAGTAGTAAGCATTTAAAAAACAATTTCTTAAATAAATGGGTGGGAAACCAAAAAAGGCCTATCAGGAGCCTTAATATATGTTAACATTTCTCGAGTCCTACTGAGACGGACCAGGCATTGTGTCAACAACTTTGTATGCATTATCCCTCTGAATCTTCCAAAAACCATGAGAAGGAGGTAGTTAGTAACCTTTTTTTGAACAGGTAAAATGATGCTTTACAGAGACAGAATGTTTCAGGATCTGAACTTAAATTAATCATCACCAAAGTTTATGCCCCTATCCACCTTAGACTTCAAAGGGAAAGAACAATGAATAAATTGATATAAGAGGATTGTTTCAAGACAGCATATTTAAGTTGGGAATTATCTACAGTATCTTACTAGAGGCTTCTTTGTGAGGCTTTCTAAAATAAACAACTCTATGTATGAGATCTCACAAACAATGGTTTCTCTAGTTTTGCTGCTTTTGTAACTCGTGTCTTTGCACATGCTGTTCTCTTAGTCTAGGAAGCCCTTACCATCTTATGCAATTGTAGAATTCCAACTCATAACTTAAAATTTAGCTAAGGTATCACTTTGGACTTAGGGCCATTCTGCCAAAGGAGGTATTCTCATCCTAAGTGGTTGCTTGCTGTTCTTTACAATTACTTCATTAAATGAATACTCTAGATGACCTTATACATTTATTTACATGTCTTTCTCCCCTAGTCACTCTAAATTTCTTCAAAGGCAGAGTTCCTTTCTTATTCATCTTTGTACCCCTAGTGCCTGTGTGGCACAAACACAAACATTTATCAAGGCACTTGGTAAAAATATTGGTTAACAATTTCTACATCTCCCAATTTGGCCTTCTCGTATATTCAGGTATTATCTGCTTAATTCTGGCCAAGCAGGATGTAAAAAACATCTAGAATTGCCATTGCCCATGATCCTTTTTAAAACTTCCTCTGTCTCCACGCAAAATGTACTCCATTTCTTTTGGTTGCAGAGCCCTTACTTCAATTCAGGTTTGTATGACCCTTAGTAAAGGTCATGGTCTTAGTTATGGCTTGAGCTAGATTTGAAGATGCAAAAGAAAACAAAGCAAGAACTTGATAATCTTGGTGACTGACACTAGAAGTAAAAAAACAACCATCTTATATGATCATAAAAGTTAAATGAGTGCATCATTAACTAAGAAGGGGAAAATTGAGGATGGCCAGGATGATTTGATAAGAAGTGACACCTGATTTGGGATTTGCAGTAAAACTATGTTGGGGGAGACAGTGGATAAGGCAAGAGGCACTGTACAAAAGACAGCATGTGAATAAAGCCAAGGAGACCTGAAGGAGCACAACATAATCTTGAAGAGGAAGTGGGTTGGTTAGCTGCGATGAAAGACATCATAAGGGGAAAAGTAATGGGAGATGAAGCTGGAGGTCTAAGTTGACATAAGATATAAAGATGAAGGGCTTATACTTCAGATTGAAAATAGGATTTTATATAAACCAATAAAAAGGAACAATCCACAAGGTTTTTAATTAGGGTAGTGACATAACCAGGTTTATGTTTGGTAACAACTCAGCAAAAGACAGAATATGGCCCAGAGTACAGAAAAGTCAGAGGCAGATTAATTAGCTAAGGAGATTACTTACTACCATTCTCTAGTCAAGGAATGAACTAAACTAGCAGCAATGTGCATAACACAAAGATAGAACTGAGCGGACTTAGGAATTAGGAAGGAAAACAATTCTATACGATTTGGTGATAGGCTGACTATGGAGGTAAAGAAGGGGTGGAAGAGGACTATGATATTTCTAACTTGGGGAATTGGGGTAGACAGGGACAGCACCATCCAAGAAAGTAAATACAAGCAAAAGAGGTTTGTGGGAGATGTTAATGAGTAATTACATAAATACTCAGTTTGAAAGACCTCAGGGACTTATACTGCTAACCACTCAGTCTACAACTTAATCATATGCTGAATTATTTTGATGTGTTTAAGTAGATTTCTCAACCAATCACAAAACTTCGAAAACCTTGTATTTTATTTCTTTCATAACATCACTAGTGTATAAAAAGCCTTCATTAAGGTTGGGTGCAGTGGCTCATGCCTGTAATCCCAGCACTTTGGGAGGCCAAGGTGGGCGGATCACAAGGTCAAGAGATCAAAACCGTCCTGGCCAACATGGTGAAACCCCGTCTCTACTAAAAATACAAAAATTAGCTGGGTGTGATGGCACACGCCTGTAGTCCCAGCTACTCGAGGGGCTGAGGCAGGAGGATCACTTGAACCTGGGAGGCGGAGGTTGTGGTGAGCCGAGATTGCACCACTGCACTCCAGCCTGGCAACACCGCGAGACTCTGTCTCAAAAAAAAAAAAAAAAAAAAAAAAAAAAGGCACTTCATTAAGACAATACTAACAACAAGCCCTTGGTGAACTGTTTGACTAGTGTGAACCATGATTGTGTACATAAATTAGGAAACAATTTTATTATCCATTCTAGGATTAAGAGGGGAAGTTTTCAAAATTTCTAGATTGCTATATACAAATTCTAACATACTTAATAGCATAAAGACAATGGAGAAAGAAGAGAAATGACATTTCCTCTTTACATTTACTAGTAGGTAACAGTCTATCTGCCTTTTATCTTGGAGCAATTAGTCTCCAGTACACTTGAGAAAGTGACCTAATCCAAGTTGTTTATTTACCAGTTATAAGCACTATGGGGTCAGATATTAGTTCTGCCACATTCTGTATAACCTCGAGCAAGTTACTAAACTGAACCTTTAATTTAAATCTATAGAAAGGCATAAAAAGACCTACCTCACAGATAAGGATTAAATGCCATACATACAAGCATCTATATCTATGTCTGGCATATGATAAGCCACCAAATTAATATCTTTCTTTCCTTCATGTGTTCTTCGTAAGAGAGGAGACAAATCTATGTATATTTATAGGTTTCTAATATGAACACTTTAGAAGTTATATTTTAAAGTAATGTTCAAATTTAGCAATGCATAATGGTTAGTAAGTACTGAAATTAAATCTCATTTAAAATTTACTAGTCATGTAACCTTGGTTGAGTTCACCAAAATATGCTTTCTCATCTGTAAAACGGGAATACAAATTGTACTGAATTTGAAGGTGACTGTGTGGATATAAATGACATAATGCATGCACAGTATGTATTTACTATGTACCAGTTAGTACGCTTATCAAAAGTAAGCTGCTATTATAACCATTATACTCCATTTTGTCAAATAGGAAAATATAATACACCTCTTATTACAGAGACATAATGATGTATTTGTGTGCATGTGTGCACGTGTGCGCCACTGAGGAATACATGAGGACAAAGTCAAAGGGAACCAAGAAATTGAATTCAACAGTTACCAAACAATATACCATAAAAATCAGTATCATCTTATAGTAAAACATAAATTTTTACTGAGGAAAATAAGAGGCAGCAGGGAAATCACCAACTAAATTTTAATCTTTGTAGAGTAATTACCAAAACTATTATCTTTACATAAATTTGGATGACCATAGGAGACATGAAAAATTTTTATAAGGTATTTTCATGTAGTTTCTCAGAAATAAGGACTTTAGGAATAACAGATTTTACATAATATTTACTGAACTAATTTTAATTTGCTTTTAAGAAAGACACAGATAAACATTAACAGGCACTTTTATTATACAAATGAATAGTAATAACAATAGCATATATTTTTCCCACACAGAAAAGGTATTTCTGACTTACCCACTCATCATCTTATATTTATTTATTTCCTCTTAGCAACAAGTATCCTTCACTGAGTCATCTACATTATTTTACCTGGTCTCCCGTGACTCCCAACAACACATTTGATGAGAAAGTTGACTAAAATACATCGCATAATCCTTGTCTAGGAAACTTTTTCTTCTGTGTTTAAAAAAGTCACAGGAATACTAGACTTGTAACCTGGTTCTCAGTGTCATGGTATAAAAATGTTTCTGCTTAATACTAAATAGTTCAGCCCCATGGGCATACTCACTCATTAATCCAGATCCAATAATTGGAAATGAGATAATGGCATGTCCCTACTAGACTAAAGTTCAATTCTAAATTTATCTGTGAAGTAAACCAGCAAAAATAAATTAAGACTATAACAAGATTTGCAAGGAAATGTTTGGTCAAATTTTGCATATTATTTTCAAGCAGTTTTTAAATTATCTTAAAAGCATTGATTTACATAACACCACTTAATATATGCATTACAAATAAGCTTTATTCAGATATAAAGATGACTCTTCTTGGAGACAGTTCATATCACTACGTACATCTGAAGTTAAACTGCATATATTTTTAATTTAATTCTGTAAGTCATGCTTCCCCAAAATTTACACTGGATCCGACCTCAATTATTCTGAGTTAGCAGTATTTTCAAGTAGCTATAATTGAAAATCCCAGTCTGATGTATTAAACACTTAAATAACTGCAGATACATTTTTAGAGCAAATAAATATGTTTTACAAAAGACTGGAAATAAGTTAAATTTACTTATTTTGCAAATCATAGGTACTGACAGACCCAGGATCTAAAATATGTATTTCTAATGACTTATTTCCTTCAACTAAAATTATCAACCCAGCACAAATATCTTTCTTTACAATCCTGATTTTGTAGATGGGTAAGAAATTGGTAGGCAACATATGGTGAGTCAAGTATCACTGAACAGGGAATAAGAAAACCTGCTTCTAGGCCAAAGGCAGAACTGGTGTAATCCATAAAGCTCTAGAGCAGTGATTCTCAAACTTTAGTGATGGAAAGAGAACCATCAGGCAATCCTTGTTAAAATCGAGATTCCTGAGCCCAAGTAACTAGAAAGTCTATTCTTTTATTTATTTATTTATTTATTTATTTATTTATTTGAGAAGGAGTCTCGCTCTGTCGCCCAGACAGGAGTGCAGTGGCACGATCTTGGCTCACTGCAACCTCCGCCTCCTGGGTTCAGGCGATTCTCCTGCCTCAGCCTCAGGAGTAGCTGGGATTACAGGTGCCCGTTACCATGCCCGGCTAATTTATTTATTTATTTATTTTTTTATTTTTTTTTTGTATTTTTAGTAGAGAGAGGGTTTCACTGTGTTAGCCAGGATGGTCTCAATCTCCTGACCTCGTGATCCACCTGCCTTGGCCTCCCAAAGTGCTGGGATTACAGGTGTGAGCCACAGTGCCAGGCCTAGAAATTCTAATACAATAAGATTAGGGTGGAGTCCAATAGTCTGCAATTTTAATATGCAACTCAGGTGATTCCGATACAGGTGGTCTAGGAGTTCATTCGTTTTCAGAGCACTCACAAACTCCCTGAAATACATAAACAAGCCCATACAAAATTTTTTATACAAGACATCCTACCCCCCAAATCTAATGATTTCATCAGATTTTCAAAGGGAGCTAAGACCTAAAAAAGGGTAAAGGCTACATTGCCTCAGGAAGCCCTAAATCCCAGGTAAAAATAAACCTGACTAGCTACCAGATCGATCCCTTTATTTGTAAAATTTCTTTCAGCAACACTGGTTAGGTCCTTTTTCTCCTTTTTCAGATGTACAGGTAGTAACTCTGCAGTCTTTATACAATTACCAAATGTGAGTAAGGAAACTATTAATATCATAATTTTCTTTGTAAGAGATTTGAGGTTTGCAATTTTTCTTATTTACCTTATTTGTAGTTTTTTTGGTCCTCCTCATCTTCCTAAATTTGTAGTTTTATTTTACTCTTCATTTAATGTAGATTATAGAGGAATTATAAAGCTGTGTTTTAGAGTAACGTACTGAGGCTCGATATGGTAAATTTTAAAAACTGTTGTTATTTTTGAAAGCTGGTCTAAATATCTTTATGTAACCAAGGCCATTAAAAAAAAAAAGGTTCTTTGGCCTCTTGTTTTCAGTTCCCTATAGCTTACTCATAGCTGTGAGAAATTTTTTTCTGTAAGTCATAAATACCTTTTCTTCCTCATAGAGGCATATGCTTCTCATCAGTCATAAAAAGGAGGATGCAACTTTAAAATGTTATATAGGCACTAAAAATAAGTGGTAGCAAAAATTGCCAAGAAAGGACAGAGATGTATCATCACTGAACTCTTAGTGTAAGAGTGCCTTGATCACCACTATTTATATCCACATAGATTCTTATAAAAGAGAAATTCCACATCTCTTGAAAGCAAGAGTATTATATGCTAATGAGGTATCTGCAACTAAAGTGCTCAGCAGAGGTTTGGTAGGTTATAAGTACTTTTGCACATATATTTTTAGGTTTTCTTCACAATTAAAAGTAAATAGTAAACAACGAAGTAGAAGACAGTCCCCTTTAGGTGGCCAGAGCTTTTCTCTCCTTATCACTCTCTCTCAGATTAAAATATAGGAAAGGATAAAGATGGCTTTAACTTGTTAAAAGACCATACAATGCTCTGAGAAGATTTCTGTGTATATTTCCATGTTAAGACTTTCTTATTTGTTTAAGAAGAAAGTTTGTTCCCCTTAAAAAATTTCAAGTACAAGCAAGTAGGTATTAAAGGATTTTTACGTTTTTGGAGAGAGGAAAGATGGGTGGAAAGCAGAAGAAAGGCAGTGAAGACCAAGGCAGAACCTTCTTTTGCCCCAGTAATCAATCTCTGCATCATCTTACTTGCTTTAGAATAACGAGTGTTTGTGTGTATGATGTACATGAGTATGCATAAGTGTGTAACGTGTGTACAGGTACAAGAGTGAAAGCTGTTAAACTAGATGGCCTGTTGTAAACTGGTTCTCATCTTTCTCCTGAGAAAGATCATCCATGATGGCCTGATGGTGGTTCTTCTCCAAATCCATTTCAAGGTACTTCAGAACAAGAGTGTCTATACAATCTGCTACTTTTAAGTATTACTTTCCTGAACTTCTAACCCTTCCTCAATTTCACCTAACCAGTCAGAAGTCCCCTTTCCTAATTCTTTCCTGACCTGAGCCAGGGTGGGGTGCTTTCATGTCTCTCCATAGTTTCAGTAATTGAAGCTGAGGATCCAGAAGTCACCTTCACAGAAATTCCTCATCACACCCTCCTGTTACTCCCAAAACAAGTCATAGAGTCCAGATTCTGTAGTGTCGTCAGCCCTCCAACTCCCGCTGAACTGGTGTTTAACGATCCTTCAAGAGCAAGGTAAGAAAATGTTAACACAGGGGATCATAGCCCTAGCACAGTAATTCTCGATACTGGCTGGACTTCAATAAATAAGCTGGGCATGGTGGCATGAGCCTTTAGTCCCAGGAGGCTGAGGTTAGAGGATCACTTAAGCCCGGAGGTTGAGGCTATAGTGACCCATGATCGATCTGCTGCACTCCAGCCTGGGTGACAGAGCTAGATCTTGACTCAAAAACAAACAAACAAACAAAACTCCACAAAAGCATATCACTGGTAGATAACATCTACCAGTGCTTTTGTGGCTTATTTTGTAAAGCCATCACGTGAGGGGCTTTAAAAAATACCAGGGCCTCCACCCTCAAAGATTTTGATTTAAAATTTAGGGCCTGGTCCTACATGATTTTAATGTGCACCCACAGGGCCAAGAATAGTTATTCCAGACCTAGGAGAAAAACGCACGCAAAAACAAAAACTACTGCCATAATATGTTTAACTGTTAAGGATGGGGCCAAAAATAAATTAATGGATACACATATATGATAAAGATTAAATTGTGTTTGTTATCAAAATTGGGAGTTTGAATAAATATAACAGAAATAATGTTGGCTATATTTTTTAAAAAGCTATCATTGTCACTTACAGCAATTATTTATTTTGCCTTATTATGAATTAATGATATAAATACCCATATATACATCAAAGTAACTTAGTTTTATTTAATTAGATCACAGAGAGATAGAATTAAAGAATCAAAAGGCTGGATAATCTATTCTGTCCATATAGTATACACACTCAGATTTAATGAACATGACATTATTTATAATTTTAAAGAAGATATTATCTACCAGTAGGGTACTTTTGCAGGGATTTTTTTATGAAAGGCTGGAGTGCAGTCACACAATCATGGCTCACTGCAGTCTTGACCTCTTGGCCCAAGGGGTCTTCCCACCTCTTCCTTCTGGGACTACAGGCTCGTGCCACCATGTCTAGCTTATTTGTTATTTATTTAGTTATTACTTTTTAACTTTTATTTTAGGTTCAGGGGTACATGTGCAGGTTTGTCAGATAGGTAAACTGCATGTCACAGGAGTTTGGTGCACAGATTATTTTGTCCCCCAAGAAATAAGCATAGTACCCAATACATAGTTTTTTGATCCTCTCCCTCCTCCCGCCCTTAATTTTTAAATTTTTTGTAGAGATGGGGTCTCACTATCTTGCCCAGGCTGAATGGAGTAGGGTGCTTTGAATCAAACTAGACAATAGCCTAGTATTACAAACCACAGCATTCCCTTTTACAAAATAAGAAGCAGGAATATGTGCCCAAAGTCACTTTTTCTCAAACTAAGTAACAGGTATTTTGAAACATAACTGACTGGCCAGTACCCTTGTGGTTAACTGATACTCACCAGATAATGTGATTTTAACATAACTCCTTAAAACACAGCAACTCCTTATAAAATATAACTCCTATTCCACGTAGTATTTTCATATAGACTCTATAAATTAATCTTGAAGATAATGAAATTAAAGAATACACAGTAGTAACCCACTTAATAAAATGAATATATTCAATTAGATGAAAATGCAATTTCTATAGCAAAGCAATTTTTCATTAGTTTATACTTAAAATTTCAGAAATGATTTACCCTCATTTCTGCTTACTATTCAAGCAACAGTGATTTCCAACATTTTAAGCCTCGAGTTTTCTTGTGTCTCTTTTAGCCCAGGGTAGGAAGTGACTTTACAAACACTTAAGTACATCAGAAGAGCTTTCTATTTAAAGCAATTCTTCAGTGAAATCTTCTCACCATTTACTTTACGAACTTTGCATATTCGGTTTTTTAAGTATTAAATTTCTTAAAATTTGGCACATTAGTAAAGTAAAAATAGTATGTGTCCCTAGAAGACAAAACAACAAATATACACCAGAAAAATAATAAGGTTTAAAACATACAGGAGACACTGTACCCTCCACTATAAAGAATGCAAAAATATGATATGGGATACCTAAAGAAAAAGATTTTTCTTATAAATTAAAATATGCTCACATCACCATATTATATTTTGAAGAAAGATTATCTCTATTTTTGAGATGACAGATCTAAGGTTGTAAAGCAGAATACTTGTTTTCAGCTCTCAGCTATTATTTTTGTCTGTAGTCTGCTGCACTATCTTTCTCCTTTGCCATATGCATTGTAGGTGGGATGTTTCCTGTTGTTACTATGTCTAGCTTTGCAGACTCAATTTTCAAACAGTTTATTTACTTCTCAAAGTGTGATCCTATAATTGTGCTTTGCTGTCCCCAAGTCAAAGTAAGTATTAGGATGTGTACTCAGTTTTTCTATTTAATATATATTTTTGAAACAAAAATCAAACCCTTCGTTAACCTGGTATAATTTAAACAGTAACATCAAAAACCAAATTAAAAAAATACAATGGACAGTAAGATAAAATCACCTAACTTCCTTACAAATCTTTATCCGTTAGTTTAGTCAAAACCTTACATGTGATTGATGGGATATGCTTTCTAACTTATTATAAACTCTTTTATTATCAGATACAGTGAAGATTAATTCACAGTAAGAAGATTACAAACTGGTGTTACATCAAAACCATCCCAGGAAAAAAAAATGTGTCCTTAATTTCCCCAATCCTCAAGTTTTCTTTTTCTTTTCCTTTTTTTTTTTTTTGTCAGCAATCATAAGACTGTACTTATTAAATTCAAGGTAATTAAAGAAAACAACCTTCTTTACCGAGAAAAAAGAAAAAAGATACAACCCTGAAAAGTTTTTGTAGAGATGAGATTTAGGAACCATAGTACCAACATAGTTTGCTTCCAGGGACATAAGACTCCTGTTTAGAAATTTTGTAGATGTATGGAACTTAGCAAAGTCCTGAAAGATTTAGTAAATGCTAAAAGAAACTGAAAAGAAATGTATAAAACAAGCATAAAAGAAGTTTTAAAAATGTGATTCCTCCTGTTATATAGACTACACTGAAATCCAGTGTCTGGTTGAACTTTCTAGGCATCCTGCCTGACTTTCTTCTCTTTCACATTCCTGCTTTATTTCTTATGGCAGATATTATTACACTAGGAGGCAGGGGACCGAGGTACCAGATATACCAGTTGTTATATAACCTTGGATAAGAGACCTTTTCTGGGTCTCTTTCTCCTGATCCAAAACATTGAGAGAATGAAAAATTAATGCTTTTATTATTATCACCTAGAAATGTTTGCTTTACAACTCAACTTGTATCTGCATTCTCTAAATAGCTGAAAAGAACTGTTTGTTCTTTTGTAATGTATATCACTCATAAATATTTCCTTAGTATTGGTCTTCAGTGGAAAGACTATAAGCTCCATAGTCCTTGCCTGTCTTATTCATAGGTGAATAACTGGCATACAGTAAGTACTTAATATTTTTAGAATGAGTAACTGAATTAATGAACATTTATGCTTCTCTACATCACTATGAAAAACCTGAGCTTGCTTCTCAAGTCCTGGGACTTTCTGTAAATGCATTTTTCCTAACTGCATTTATAATGCGAATACACTGCACATTCTGTTTTTTCTCTTTGAGAAAAATTTCTGCTTATGAAAATATTACTATTCTCTTGAATCAGGATTTGATGTCTCTTAGCAGCTGATGTTAACCTTAATAGTTTAAGATGTCTCTAACTGTCTCATTTAAAGATAATAATATTTTTCACAAGGCATAACTTTAAAAAAGCATATGTAAATATAACTTGATATTTTTTAGCAGACATTTAAAGTGGTTTAATTACATCAGGATTTACAAAATAATATGAGTTTTCAAACTGGGTTACTGGGTGATTAGGTTTCCTGATTCTATGCAGAATGAATATATGAAAATACCAAAAAAGATTTTAGAACATTTTGTAGAACTTGTTTATAACATTTAAGCATTATTTCATATGAAAAATACCAGGGATGTTGTGTACCAGAATCCAGTCAATACTTGGTTATTTGAAACAAACAAATTATCTTTGTTTAGTTTTCTACAATAAAAGTGGCCTTTATGTAAAAATCTCCATTAAGTGTTTGCAATTTTTAGAGTAGTATACTAAATGTTAAGTTTGGTTATTTTGGAAGAGAAAATTCATTCTGCCTTTACATAAAAACCCTACGTCTTAAGCAATTATGAGCATAAATTATAAATTTGAAATTACTTTTGTTATCTACGCAACCATTTATAATTATCTCTTTAAAAATGCTTCTGAGTGTTTTGATTGCCAATATTTATTATTTTCTGGGTCCCCCAACCAAACTGTTCATCAGTTTCTTAAACTTATGAGTTACACACTCTGTAATAGTTTAAATAAGAAAAAATAAAAACCTATTTAAAATGTTCTTTAATATGAAAATTAAAACATAGATACTGTTCACCTTATAAATCTAGTGCTGTTCAAAACCTCATTGCTCACTAATTTATTCCCTGAAACTTGGAATCACTTAATAGAAATGAAATACTAAGAATGACAGTTAAGTTTCTAGGATGGCTCACAGGAGCACTGAGCCCATATATAGTACTAGAGTACTGACTATGAGAAATAGGAGTTTTTGACCTAGTTCATCAAAGATGGAGAAAAAGCCAGTTGATGGCTAAAAAAGATATTCAGCCCTTAAATGTCCTAAGGGATGGCTAGCCCAATACTTAACTTTAATTGTCTACACCCATTTAAATCAAACTTTTCAAGTAATCTTTGAGTGAACCAACCTTAAGTAAGAGGATATATCCAAAGCAGACACAAGCTAATACAATTTTAAACAACAGAAGAACATATCTTTACATTTACTTTGCCAACTAATGGTTTTGTTGTTTGAATTCTCAATGAGGAGAATGTCAACTAATAGTTTTGTTGTTTGAATTCTCAATAAGGAGAACAGATAGCTTGGCTCAACACATTGGCACATGGAATATGTTGGGTTCTAATTTTAGTCTTTCCACTGACTTTCTTATTGCTATACTTTAAAAGGTCCTAAACACTCTGTATGTCTGTTTCTTTATGAGAAACAACAAAGATATTTTTCCCACTATCTCCCTCAACAAGAAGTAAAACAATAATGTAAAGAATCTGGCAAATGTAAAAAGACACATAAAAGTGTCATTTGAAAAGTCTGGTATACATTTCAAAGAACTATAAATAGAATTTGTTTTATTGTACCAAATGAAATATTACCAAGTTAAAGATTTACCATAATATACTAGTCACTATTTTCTATAGTACAACTAATATAAAGACAACACATATAATCACTATAACAGTTAATACTTTTGTGTCACTTAGCATGAACCAGGCATTTTTAAAGCATTGTATATATCTAAAGCATTGATTATATCTAAACTCACTAAATAACCCTGAGGTGGACACAACTGACTAGGCCCATTTTACTAATGAAGAGACTGAGGCACAGAATATCCCATAGCTAGTTAAGTGGTGGAGCAGGGATTTGAATCCAGACAGTCTGGCTCTAGGGTCCGTGCTCTTAACGTTTTTGCAATATTGCCTACCTAATGTGAGGAAACAAAGACAAGGAAAGAAAATATATTTACATATTTGTTCACTTAATAACAATCACCAAAACCAATGCTGTAAGTTATGAGAATATTTACATTAACCAAGTTGGGGAGCATTTATTCAAATTTCTCCACCATCTGAGTTTCATGTTTACAGATGTCCACTTTGTGGGTCTTACTGTGTTGGCAAAGTGCAGAACAGCACAAAAATGAAGTATATCAGTCCTCAGAAAAATGTAGGAGTTCAAGAAAGCTTTAAAATAGCTTTAAGATTAACAGATAATTTTATTTCTAAAAAAAGAAAAAATTTTTAACGCATAACATACAGATTATAGAACAGTTATTAATAGTAATATAATTTCATTTTCCTTCTCGCCTTCTACTATTACTAATAGTGCACCCTGCTTATTCAACGAAGACTTGCACATATCTTCCCTCTCTTAGAATTAATTCATCTTTGTGATATTTTGTTATTAATAAAGGTAACAATCCATTTTTTTCATTTTTTTTCATCTACTATGGTAGTAGATGCTATTAGTAATAGGAGAGAAGGAAAATGAAAAAATTTAGTGAATGTCCACAACATTCTAGGACTTCATACTCTATCATTCATAGTCATGACAACTCTGAGATATGCATTACCATACTAATTTTACTGATAAACTAAAGTTCAGAACTTTAACAGCTCGTTAAAGGTTCTATATTGTAGTATTCAGTCTATGGAGCCAATGCTCAAACCCAGGAATGTCTCTGAAAGCTCTACAGGTTGTCGCCTATTAATAAAAAGGGTATAATGTTTATCATTGGTCATCTGTGAGTAATAGTAATTAGAAGAGTGTAAAAACATATTGATAAGCTCAGCACTTAACTTTAAAAATAATTTTCATGACCTTTCTTTCTCAAAGCCGCTAAGGATGCAACAAAAGAAAATGATGTTTGTCTCACTTTTGTATTCTTCACGTTAAATTTTTGGGTAGGTGTTTATAAGCAGTGAAATATGAAGAAACACTTCATTAAGTATGTTCCTCAGAATGTTTGTTTGTTATAATGATAAAATAAGATAATGTCTACAAGACTTTTAGCACAATGAGTGGCGCAAAGTACTCAATAAATGTTAGTGACCATTATTAGAAGTTCAGAAGAATTACATATTAAGACCCCTTGAAAAAATATTGCAGTAAAAATGTTTATCCAGCATTCGTTAATCATAATCATGGTTTTTAAACCTTATTTGATGAAGCAGCCTTTTGGGTTTTTTCAGGTGCGAGGATAATCATACCTATTAAGTTATCACAGAACTAGAGGACCTTGGAATACGCTTCGCTAAACAACAGTAGAAAGCTGTAAAATAGAAGAAACGTATCAATCCCTGAAAAATGCACAAGTGAAACTTCATTTCTATTTAAGAGGTACACTGACCTCTTAGAATTATTAGATAAATTTAGTAAACTGTCTTTTCAAACATTCTTTTGTTTTGAGACAGGGTCTTACTGTGTCACCCAGGCTGGAGTACAGTGGCATCATCACGGCTCCCTGCAGCCTTGACCTCGCAGGCTTAAGTGATCCTCCTACCTCAGCCTCCAAAGGACCTGGGACTACAGGCACTTGCCCCCATGCCTGGCTAATTTTTGCATTTTTTGCAGAAATGAGGTTTCACCATGGTGCCCAGGCTGTCAAACATTCTAATAAGCTTTCCGAACACTGTTGGTCTATTAATTAAAAGTAGCCTGCTAGATATTGCATGGAAAATGAATCAATGCTGGTATTTTCTCAATTGGAATGTTTTAAAAATAAGTAAACAAATAAATAAGCTCTAAATTCTATAGTTCTTATTTTTAGATGCCAATCTGCTGTAAAAGCATGGTCTGCTGTACCTGAGAATGCGAGAAAATTAAGTTCAAGATCACCTGATGAAGTACCTTCATCAATTTTCAACTTCAAGCATTGGCAGAATTCATCAACTGTTATGTGGTACGCTGTTTATTTAATGAAGACTTGTACATATCTTCCTTGTCTCTTACAATTTATTACATCTTTGTGATATTTTCTTCTTAATAAAAGTTGCTTAATCAATTATTTTTTATAATGCTCTTAATATTTTGGGCATTCCTTGAATTTTCAGTTATTAGATTGTTAATTACTTAATACAGACAGAAACTAGTGTCCAAAGAGGCTTAAAACTTAAGATCAACCTGAAATGAAGATAATTTATTGACAATAAGTTAAAAGAAAAATAAGAATTAAAAAATTAAATTTCTTCAACTTCCTCTTTAAAGTATCACTCCAAGTGATGCACACTAAGATATTCAAAGCTAACATTATGGCCTAAAATAGTACAACTGAGCAATTTATAATCACTTCTAACTGTATGAAATCACTCTCAATATAATCAAAATAAAGTTGGCATCTGTATTGCTGACATTTGGTAGCTCTGCATTTCTTACCAGTATATAATTTTTTAAATGTTTATATTCTAACAACTGACACGAATATGTGCTAAATTCAGAACAAATTATGAATGTGATACTTCTACTCTCCTTCTACCTTGGTTTGCTCGACATTATCACTCTGTTCTATATCTAGGTGCCAGCTAAGGATCTTCTAAGCTGTCCAGCTGAATGTGTCCCTCACCATCATTTGTTAGAATCTCTTGCACCAGCCTAATGCACTTGAAGTAAGGCTTTTTTCTTCATTATTCACAGCTTAGTCAATCATACCCAGGACATTCTCTTTTGAATACATATAGACATAACTTTTAATCTCCTTCCTTTTCTTTTCTAACTTCTACCTGGTTATATTTATGACACTACGTTGACTGGTTTCCAATGTTATTTCTGTTAAAAGGGTTTCTTATGAGACCTGTCACTGTAACCATGATTCTATGGGAAAAAGCATTATTGGTTTTAAACTGAAATAAAAATGAACTTCTATAACACAAATCTTTTATAATTAATAGTAGGTTTTTCTTGTTAAACCTAAGGAACATTAGTCTAAGTTTAAATATTAAACCTAAGGATAAAGGAAAGCTTGGCCTACACAAAGTTCTGCAGTTTGGCTCCTACATAACTCCCTAGCATCATCACTTACCATGCAAACTCTTGCTCTAAACTTCTGCCACATTGACCTTTGTTTAATATTCGGTACTATGCTTCCTCCCACCTCAGAACCTCTGTATATGCTATTCCTTCTTCCCAGAAAACTCTTTTCTTCATCTTGATCAAATTAACTTACTTGAGATCTCAGCTAAATAAACACTTCCTCCAAAAAAAAATTCCTCTTGATCGCACTGAGTAAATTCTCCTTCTAAAAGCCCTCATATTACGTACCTCTCTACAGCAACTGAAACAGTTCCAACTTTGCATTTATTTGTATGATTATTTCATTAATATCCTTTTCTATCTTTAGATATAAGTTCCGGGAGATCAAGACCTATGTCTATTTTTGCTCACTATCCCAGTGAGCACATAATAGTAACAACACATGTTTGTCAAAGAAAGACACTGGCAAACCCTTTGTGAAAAAGAGATAAACACTGAGTCAACAATAACCACCGTTTAAAGAAATTCACTATGACATTTTAGCTAAAAAAAATACAGAGCCATATTAGAACTCTTTAAACTTTCAGAAGAAATAAAAAAGTTCAATTTCTGGTAGTAGGTGAAGACTGGATGGTAATTTACATCATAGGGGTACCTGGAAATAAATTAGATGCAAACAAAACTTATAAAGAAAATGGAGAAAACATAAGCTGCATCCTTTGTTACTTTCAGCATTTATAGATGATTTATAGTTTTAATTGTGTACTATTTACTATTGATCCTAGGGATCAACCTGGGTAAAAAATTTATTTGTGAAAGAAAAAAGAACCTTAGCTAGTATTCTTGCATGTTTGCTGCCTTAACTAGTGTTTTCATTTCCAACTCATATTCAGAAAACACTTCAGACTCCAATGGACTCTCTAGTCATAATTGCAAGGACCTATTCATTTCCTTATTTTTTGTGCAAATAATTTTTCCCCCTTTCTCTACTTCTTTCTTTTCGAAACTACATTCAGGGAAATAAAATTTTAGAACCATAAAAGTAAAGGTACGGTATATTATTTCAAATCATTTCCCTAATTTACCAGGCTACTCTGAATTTTAATCCCAGCTTTCAAACTAGTAAAAATAAGCTTCCCAATCCTCTCACCCATTGGAAGCTTTGTCTTTACCTGAATTACCCTCTTCTGTGACAAACTAGTATCTAAACTCCACCTAAACCCTGATTAACTCAGGTCCTCCCCAAAAGCACACTGTGATTAACTCTACAGAATTCTAATTGCTTTTTTTTTTACAAGGCATATTTACACACTCAGTTTAATGTTATTTTACAAAGGTTCTTAAAGTGTTTTTCAAGTACATGTTTCAGTCACTTAAAAAGAAGTACTTAGTCTTCAAACCTTCTGTTTTATTTTTGTCCTCTATTCAAACCAGTACCTGATTATAGAAAACATTACAAAAATATTACATGATTATACTATCTGTATTTTGAGTGAACATATAATAATTTGGATCACTGATTAAAATAATAAAGTTCATCTTATTCCCATATATTATATCTTATCTCAGATTGAAATTGTCTACCACTTTATAACTGCCATCCTTTATCACCAGCAGCCCAGTCTATATTTTTCCAGGACAGTGAGAAGTGCATTTTTCAGTAAGAAGCAAAATATTTAAAAACTACATTATATCCATTGTTCCTTCCTCAATTGACTAGGCTTTTCACCCTGTTAGATAAGTCTGACAGACTTTATTCTCTATCAAGCTATGATGACTGTTAGCCAATACTATATTCTCTTCAAGATATTCTAGGGATATATTCATGTGACTATTTAGACTAGAACTGCAATTTTCCTGGGTCATTTTTTACTTCAATACGTAAGTATATTTTCTCATCAAAAATCATTACATGAATATAAGCTTATTGCTACAAATAAATCCAAGTAATGCTAAAGATTAAATAAAAAGAATTCGTCAACCTTCCCACATCCCACATATATACTTTCCGTATACAAAGCATGGAATTTGATACCTATCTTCCAGATTTTTTCTTAATGTACTGAGGTTCTAATATATATGGCATATACTTTATGTCTTTATGGTATAAATAGTATAAAAATGTATTGTATGGATGTAAACATATACATTCATAAACATTGCATACTTATTATTCTGTCCATTTTTTACATAAATGAAATCATAGTGTGCATATTATTTTGTGATGTGCTTTTCAACCTAGCTTATCTTAGAGATCTTTCCATGGATTTAAACTATAAATCTAAGTTTTGCATGGTTGTTTTTCATTCTTATCTTCAGATACACTTGAGAGTATTTCCCAACTTTTTTTTTTCTTATGAGACAGAGTCTTGCTCTGTTACCCAGGCTGAAGTGCAGTGGCATGATCTCTGCACTCAGGAGGCAACCTCTGCCTCCTGAGTTGAAGCGATTCTCTTGCCTCAGCCTCCCAAGCAGCTGGGATTAGAGGTATGTGCCACCAAGCCTGGCTAATTTTTGTATTTTTAATAGAGATGGGGTTTTACCATGCTGGTCAGGCTGGTCATGAACTCCTGACCTCAAGCAATCCACCCACCTTGGCCTCCCAAAGTGCTGGGGTTAAGGCATGAGCCACCGCACCTGGCCCCTAACTTTTTATATTACTTAGCTTCTTTTAATATTTCCATCGTAGTATTTTTTAATTAAAAGCATTTTACCAGCAATGCATTAGATTTAATATGATTTTCCATCTTTCCTAAATGATCTGTTACTTATACCTCTTATAAACTTGGATGTCAATAAAAATTACATGTACATACATAAAGAATGTGTAGATTTAGTCATTCAAGGTCTAAAATTAATAAAAACTAAAATTTGGTTTCGTAAAAAAAGAAACCAATGTAACATAGCAAATTTGCCTACTAATTAGAAAAATTAAACACACATAAAATTCAAATCCTTTTCTGACTGGCCCAGGTAAACTGTACAAAAACAGAAGCTGTTGAAGAAATGGTTTCAAAGAATTCTAAATAATTTTTAAAAACAAAAAACCCTTCTAAAACAATTTACCAAAATACTTAAAACAATAAGAACAGCAGCCTAGAAAAGCGATATGTTAAATTAGAATCTGTGTTATGTGGGACTAGACTCCTTTCATACATGTAAGAACACCTGACTAATGTGACTGTTAGGTTTATTTTCTAGTGGGCAACATATTGCTATATTTTTCAAGCTAGGAAGAAAATTCGAATAAATTGAATAGCAAAGTAACACCTTCTACAGAATTCATTAATTTCAAAACAACTAAGGTGGACCATTTAAATAATACATGCAATAATATATGCTGTTAGGTTTTATTATAAAAAGTGTTAAAGGAAAAGACTATATTACTTCTAGTAAAAAAAAAAAGCTTAATTTTATACTTCTATGAAAGAATTAAAGGTTAACACCTAAATTTTAAAAAAAGTATTCTTAATGAGTGGTATGATTTAGGAAAGCTTATAGCTAGTCAACATCACTCTCATCACTATTAGTGATATTTGTAGCTAGTAAGAGCTTTCTGATACATAGTAAACTGAACACTGTAGCTTTAATTGAAGTTTGAATGTTATAAACAGTTAGATGTCTGGCTCTGGCCTGCATTCTAATACCATCAGCAGAACAGAGATGGGAAGCATAAACAAACCTTTTAACTAGATTACATTGTCTAAAATGGCCAAGAAATCCTTCAGCAGAAACTCCAGTGTGACAAATATAGAAGGAAAATGATTTTGGAATAACACTAAAAAAATAGCCTCTGAATATTACAGGAGCACGTATTTGATTTCCTAAATATTTTTATGTTATTTAATACTCATTAATGATACTTTATAACTTTTCAAATAAGAATATTTTATATCTTACACAGTGAACTCTTTTTAGGTCAGTATATCCCAAGTAACAAAGCTATTTAAAAATCAATATTTGCTTTTATTGAATGTGGAATATTTCCCTCCCCCAACATCAGTAAATGTACTTATACAGTCTAAATTATTATTTTTAGATCCTAATAATATTAAGAATGTATGGATTAAGTTAGTTGATGGCCAACAGATTAGTAGATACTTCTGGACTCATGGTGTATAAAAAACAGTAATTGTGAATACAAGGATAACCCTAAGTATAATTTAGCACACAGTCAATCTTAAAAAACACTTTGGGATTACTTCTAACTTCTGAGATACAGATATTAAATTTTTTTTTTAAAAGCTACACATGAACTTAAGTTTTAACATTAGCACCACACAGAAAATTTTCCTCCCATTGCTAGAATCTTGATTGGTTAGCAGAAGAATTCAGTGAAGCATATGTGTACAAAAACTTTTCACCATTTCAAGGTTGGTGACTGATTTACATAACTCATATTAGTCCTTTAAAACAATGTATTCTAATAATCTACTCAATGACACTGAACTTAATTACAGGTTCTCTAATAAAAGGTTATATAGGTCAACTGAAATAAGGATACAAATCAAAATTTGTGATATCCAACTTTGAATAAATTATACCATAATATAAGTTAAGCCTGGATCTCACTGTCTCTTTGAAGAGTTATAGTGAGTTACAGTGAGTCATTCCAGCTTCTGACATCTTACATGACATAGAAATACCTCAAACAGAAATACTCTAAGTGTTAGAGTTAGAATATTTACTTTTAACTGAATTATCTTTGGGTTGTTTAAAGAAATTATTTAAGATCACACTACTGATTATTCGGATTATTCTTATAAGCAACAAAACATTTGCAATAAACTTTTCTAATATATAACAGATGATAAAGAATATTTCTTTAGCATTTAAAAATGTTTCCAAACTCTGCAGGTCATTATGTACTGGCATAATATTTGCAGGACGATAGAGTCAATAAAAGTTGATATCCCTTATTCAAAAGGTTTTGTGGACCAGAAGTATTTAGAATTTTGGATTTTTACAGATTTGGGAATATTTGCCTTATATATCTATTGAACATCCCTAACCTCAAAATCCAAAATCCAAAATGCTTCAGTGAGCATTTTCTTTGAGCATCATGTCAGTGCTCAAAAAGTTTCAGATTTTTAAGCATTTCGGATTTTGGAATTCTGGATTAGGAATACTCAACCTGTATAAATTTATAATATGAACATGTATTTACTTAGAAGAGACACAAAAGTTACTTAAGTAATAAAAACAGGAAAAAAAGTTTTTAATTTTTTTTCTCTTAAAAGTAAAGGATGTAAAACTCAACTACCCAAAGAGAACTGTATTAAAAAGTATTTTAATTCAGTAGCTTTTAAGTATAAATATGAAATAATTTAGGCACCTAGAGAACCCAACAAGTTGATCATTCTTATACCAAAATATTTCTGACTTTAGTACTAAAAAGAGTACATTAAACTTAATCCTATATATGTAATGTAGTAATTATGAAAATGTATGATAGAGTCCAGAAGGTAATGTGTATACATACACCAAAGCACAAGACAATATAAACTTCCCATTTTTTATGGGCTTTTACACCATCAACACATTTATATTAAAAATTTTATAGTAAATATTCATTGGATCAGAAATTGTTATAACCTTTGAACTTCATATAAGAAAATATTAAATGTAACTCCACACAAGTTAAAGGAAGTTTAATACAGATAAGGATTGAACTGAACTTTTTTTTACTGTTTTTTTATTTGTTTATTTATTTATTTAGAGACAGGGTCTCACTCTGTTGCTCAGCACAGAGTCCAGTGGCATGATCATGGCTCACTGCAGCCTCAACCTGAGTTCAAGAGATCCTCTCCAGCCTCCTGAGTAGCTGGGACTACAGTGTGCACCACACCAAGCTCAGCTACTATTTTGATTTTGTAGGGATCAGATCTCACTACATTGCACAGGCTGACCCTGAACTACTAGCCTCAAGTGATAAATCCTCCTACCTCACCTCCCAGTTGTTGGAATTACAGGCTTGAGCTATTCCACCTGACCTTATTTTTTATTTTTAGAGACAAGGTCCCGCTCTGTGGCCTAGGCTGGATTGCATAGTTCGCTGCAGCCTCAAAATCTGGGGCTCAAATAATTCTCCCGCCTCAGCCTCCGAGTAGCTGGGATTACATTACAAGCGTTGAGTCACCATGAGCAGTTCCCAAATGTCATTTTTGCCATACAAAGAAAAGACTGACATTATGTATATTTTAAATTGTACAATGGTCTGTATCTACATTCCTTATAAAAGACTGGGTTTTTTTTCTTTGTTTTTCTGTACTTGTAAACTTTCAGAAATTTTCCATTAGTCTGTGAAGCTATCAGGGCCATAATTTTACCATCGCTTACCAGTGTACAGATTGATAAAAACTCTACTGTGACTGTGTTTTGAATTAGAAAGTGTCATAAATGTAATGTGAATTCAATTTATCACAGTGCTGGGTACTTATAATCAATGGTAACTATGATTATTACTAAAATAGAAAGTTAAGAATGAACGTGAAAGAGATCAGAATTCACCACTCAGGAGTCTATTTATCTTCACAAGATACTGCACCAGCAGAGGCATCCCCACCTTCTTTTTAACTGCAAATCAATACTTTTGTAAAAGGTATACTTTAAGAAAGGCAAATTTAATCCAGTACTTTTTCTAATATACTTTTCGATTACACATGAAAGCCATGACAGGAACTGAGATAAGATTCTTTGTTTTTGAAACATCTATCTACTAAGAAAATTCCAAATCATTTTACTAAAGCTATAGAGATTATACCACTTAATAAAGATTAAAAATTACAACTGACTTAGAACTAGAATTGGGAAGTTTCTTATGAGGATTTTGCAATGATATTTCTACTACATACTAAAAATTCCAAAACTCCTAAATAGTGCACACTAATTACTGCAGAATAATTAAATCATGCTGTTAGATTTGCTAAAATTTGGTAGAAAATATCTGAAAACTCAAAATGAAAATGTACAATGTCTTCCAATGAATCATGAATGATAATCTGTTATATGAGATAAAAAAGAAAAAAGTTACTTTTGAGAAAAAGATTTAAGTTTAGAGGGTTTGGGGTGTTTTTTTTTTTTTGGAAAAATTTAATGAGATAACTTAATGAACATTGTTGGTCATCTTAAAAGAATTACGGTTAGCAATAAAAATCCAGCAAAGGCAACCACATAGGCTATTTTCATTGTCTAAAATGTGTTAACTATATACAGAATATAAATCCCTAGAATACAGTATTAAGTGGAAAATTTTTCTTTATATATTTGTATTTTAATAAAATAACAGCAATATCTTTCTTAAACATGCATTTTTCCACCTAACAGTATCCATTTAGTTAATATAAAATTTATTTAGGTAGAAACACCAAAACAAAGATACGACCAATACACTTGTGGAATACAATTAAGATAGCTCTTCACATTAAACTGCAGGGACCATCTTTGTTTTTCAGATGCCTAGCACAGTGCCTGGCAGACAGCAGATGATCAAAAGATGTTTAATGAATCGCTAAGTACAATCTGTTTTGCACATACAGTCAAAATCCAGACAAGTTTGCAAAGGTACATAAGTTGGATATAGGCTTTCTGGCTGACTTCATGGGGGTCCCACTGATGACTAGGAGTAAATCTTCATATCCATAGAAAACTGGAAAGTTGATAATTGTCTGGGTAAGGACCAAAAAAACAAAGTCAGGGAAACATGTCACCTAAGTAGCACTTGTTTTATAGAGCTGGTAAAAGCGGCCTAATCATTCCAACAACCTATTGCACCGGTCAATGAAATTTAAGTGCATCCTGAACAATTTTTACAAGTATATTTTTAACTGGAATGTGTTGGATCATTATTGCTTATTCATAATATATCACTTTTGCCAAACTGCTTCCTGTATAAGAAGGGAATATGTCTTGTTACTATGAGTACCATATTGTTAACAGTATTTAATTTGGCTGTTAATTAGATAAAATGAGAGCCACAGTAGAGATAAAGAAAAAATGTTCATGATAGTGAAAATTGTGGCAAGGGAGGACAAGAAAAGGAGAGGAAAGGAATTCCACATATGGAAGTAAAGAAATTCAAATATGCCTAACTCTAAAACTAACATGGATTATGACAAGCTACCAGTAGGAACTACTGTGTACCAGATATTGTGCCAAGAGTAGAAGGATGTGTTAACAAAACAAAAATGTTTGTTTTTAGGCAGTTCATAGGGCAAGACTCACAAGTAAGCATTTATAAGAGAATATGCATTCCATTTATTCTTATAAGTATGGGCCCTTAATACAACAGTAAGTATATTTACTGATTAATTGTAAGTGCAGGAGGAAAATAAGTATTAGAGAAAGCTGAAATTATTTTCAAAATAGTAATAACCTACAATAAGTGCAATTAGTACTTTAAAAAATTAACAAATTACTAAATTTAAGTAGACAAAATAATAGCTTTAAAGCCATTTACCTTAATATTCTTACAATAACATGCTCCCATATGAAACCCTCAAGTGGTATACCCAGAACTGTACATAATAGTTTCATTTCTGACAAAGGAAATGAGGTAGTGCAGCATAGTGAGCATCAGGAGACCTGAGTTCCCTGGTCCCTGCTCTGTCACTTCCAGGCCTTGGAACCTCAGGCAAGTTCAAGTTCTTAGAACTTCAGCAATAGGTAGAGTTGGATAAAGTGACCTCCAAGATACCACCCAGTTGAACAATTACAATCCTAAAGTATCAATGGTTCTTAATACTTAAAAAGGTTTTCTAAACATAAATCATTATCCAACTTAGATAAAGTCTGCAATCTTCTAACCATAAAGGATCATGGGGGTGAGGGTGAGGGGTGTGATAAAAAAATGTTTAAAAAAAAAAAAGAAACAAAATAAGGAAAGACATTAAACTCAAGACTAAATTTTTACTCAGCTGCCTACTGGGCAACTACCACCCCAATTATCTACATAATTCCCTTACCTAAAATTAATTTCTTCAGTAAGTTCTACTGTCTCTCTCTTACCTTTAAAGTTGCTGAGGTTTTAAGGTGAGAACAAGAAACCTTACAAGGACTTGGAATGGCAGTATTGATGTTGGGAGAAAAACTTGAACTTGGCACAGATTTCTGCTTAAGTGCACTAATTACATCTCAGAGAAAGGTAAAAAATTGTTCAAATTTATAACAGAAGGGAAATAAGATCATATTGTTTACTGCTATAAAGCTTTTTTATTTCGGTATGTAAATGTCTACTTTTGCACACAGTTGATAATTAAAATTTTACAGAACAAGTTTCTACATATGCAATGCTTCACTGTCACTAAAATATATGTTTTAGCTTTAACCATCAAGAAAATAAAAAATTAGAAGTATTATCATGTCTTTATAATATTTTTGCCAAATATCCTTCTAGATTTATATTTCTTCAATCCTTTCTAGTTGATCAAATTGCTGTTTTCATATTGCCAGTCTGATCACAAAATTGCTGCTTTACAGAAGAATATTTTTTGCTGACATAAATTATGGGATCAGAGATACCAATGCAGTTACAAAAAAAAAAAAAAGGGTGTGAGGGAGAGAGAGCGAGCGAAAGAGAGTGTGTGTATATGCATGTGTGCATCCATCTTCAAGGAAAGAATAAAGAAATGTATATATGAAACAAAATAACACTTTCCAATATAAGCCCTAGTAAAAGGCCTACATCAGAAACATACTTTCTAACATTTGTGAAATAAAATACAGCACTGAATTTTAAAGCTATGCACTAAGAACACATTATACAAAAATGAAGTGATTTTTATCAATATTGTTATTCCATAAACTTAAATCTGGATTTACCTTTCAATTTATAGCTAACTGAAATTAATATACTAACTATAAGTTCATGATTTCTTTGACTCATGAAAACATATTTTAGAAATTTGTGTACTTTTACATACAGTGGGCAATTTGGTTCAGAACCCCAAGAGAAATTGAGATGAAAAACTCATCTCAATTTACAACAGTAAATAAATAATTCAGCTAAAACTGAAAGTGGTACCAATCCAGCAAACTATTGATGGAGAGGTTTGGCCTTCCATGCAGCCAGAACAACATAAAGTTTTCAATGGGGATTACTTGTTCAGACAAGTTACAAAGATTACAAATATACCCAGATTAATTATAAAATAGCTAATATTCTCATCATATGGAAAATAAGTATCAGGAACGTATGTGGGAACAGACAATAGCAGTGGCATTTAAACTTTAAGCATTTTAGAGCTTTGGACTTTATATACTGATATATGAAACAGACATTTAACCAAAAAAAAAGCAATAATGCAAGTCAAAACCTAACCAAAGGCCTCTACCAACTAAAAATTTGAAATTTTCCATGGAAGTCAGACAAAACGAAAAAATGGAAAATGAAACCCTTAAAGCAAAAACCAATCAAGTCTTCCAACACTGAAGTCAATATCCAAATCTCATACAGGACCAAAAAGGGGAAAACACTCAGGTCTACAAATGGATAAGCAGTTCCAATACAATCCAGATCCCGACATTTTCCCACTCAGAAACAAATGCAGTGGAGCTTTTCCTGGAGAAAAAGAGCTCTCCAATGAATTTTTTTTAAGTGACATCTAGAAAGTGTGCCTCTTTCTGTCTCTTTCCCTGGCGCCTCATTGGAGGAAGGAGGGGGTTGTTTTTGTATTCTCCCCCACTGGAGCAAGACACAATCAGATGTTAGATGGAGGAGAGAAACCACTTTTGACAACAGCAAATAAAAATAAAAGTGCCCTTCCTCCCCTGACAGGATGGGCACCCCACCTCACACACCCCTCCCTACTCCAACCCCTCCTTCACCCCCCCCAGCACCACCCCCTCCTCACCCCGGAGCTCCACTGCGTATGTGGTTTGGTGCTACTGTTGCCCCGGAGTGAAAGTCAGAGCCAGAGGAAGGCAATGAAGCCCCCACAGACACACTTACCTTTCCTGCCCCCCACTTTTGAGTGCCTTCCCTGGAGCTGTGGAGGATGACACAAAGGGTAATAAAGGGGGGGAGTGGAGGAGGAGGAGGCGAAGGAGGAGGAGGAGAGCTGGGGAAGTGGCTGCTCCTGGGTGTAGTGAGATGTCTCCAGCCAGGGCCAAGCAGCAGCAGTAGCAGCAGCAGCAGTAGCAGCAGCAGCAGCAACAGCAGCAGCAGCAGCAACAGCAGCAGCAAAGGGTCTGTGTTGCTAAGAGGCTTTTGGTTTCTTTCTCTCCTCCTCTCACGGCCAAAGAGGAGGAGGGTGGAGGGAGGGAGGCGAGTTGGAGGGGTGAGGGGGTAGGAGTCGTGGATGGGGGTTTTCGAAGAAGAAGAAACTCCTTCTCCTCTCTCAGGCTCAATCCCCCTCTCAGGGCTCAGGGCTGGAGGGTGGGGGAAGGAACTCAGCCGCCTTCCCCCCACCCCCCTGAATTCAAGGTTGAAGTGGGGTAGAATTAGTGTCCTGTCCCTTTAAAAATAGAAATAAAAGGTGCCCCCCCTCTGCCACTGCCTCTCTCTTCATCATCAGCTGCTGCTGCTGCTGGGGTCTCTCTGCTTGGGGGGGAGGGGGGGTTCGGGTAGAAGAGACGGGAGGCACTCACTGCGCATGTCCCTCTCTGACGGGTGGCTGGTTGGTTGAAGGCAGGAGGAGGGGGAGGGGAGGAAATGAGCTATTTTCCCAGAAGGCGTCGAGGCGCTAGCGACCCGGAAGACATTGTAGCGGGAGGTACAGGAGCGGGGGCGGGGAGGAGGAGGAAGTCGCTACGCTTTTAACACCCCCAGCTCCCTCCTCCTTCCTAAGGGAAAGTGGAGGAACGGAAGTGGGCGTGGACGGAGACGAAAGGAGGTCACGTGTTTGGGCGGGAGAGGGGCGGGGTGGGAGAGGTAGTGCGTGCGCGGGGCATGCCGGGAGTGGTTGTGTACGGTCCGCAGCGGCAGGTGAAGTCTAGCAGAGGACGCGGCCAGGCGATTCGGTGAAGCGATTCCTGCAGGCGTTGGTTCCCCTCTTTGACCTGGTAAATGCAGGCTTTTATGCGAGAGGTAATGGTGGGGGTAAACTTGCTGCAAACGAAGGCCAGGGGCGTCGGTGGCGCAAGGTGAATCGAAAGTGGGAGGATGGAAGGCTGTGGAGATTGGGAATTGGGAAGGGGGCAGGCTTGTATAGGCCGGGAAGGCCAGGACCAGGCGAGCTCCGTCTTGTGGCCACTCCCGCCCCGTGAGCTTGCCGAGGAATCCTTGACAAGTGCAGGGATCCTGAGTCTACCTCTGCATCGGGGTAGTAGGTGAGGAGCGTGACGGTCCGAGTGTAAGAGAGAAGGGAACTGTGAAGCCTCAGCAATTGACCCTCATGACTGCAGGACGGAGGACTTCTATCTAGGGACAGAGACAAGTCCTCTGTATGCATTTTGACCAGATGCATCACACGCGTTGCTCATATTGGATATTGCGCCCTTCATGCCTTACCTCTCAACCCTCCCTGGTATTCTGGAGTGGCTTTGGGGAAGGAGCAGGCAGGGAAGTCTTGAGTGGAGCTTCCCTCCATGTCTTGCGTTGTTGCTACAACACAAAGCCTTTGCTTTTTCTCGGAGAGGGATGTGGGATTGTGTAGTCCTTAATGTTGAGTTCTACGATTGATGAAGGAGAAGGGACGTGATCAAAGTTTCCCCTTATAGTGTAGATGAGAGTTTTAAAAGGACTGTTTTGTCAAGTTTCTTTGGTTACTATTCTTAGTTTTTGAGCCTTTGGTTTCCCAAATGCCAGCTGTTTTTGCTGAAAATAATGAATTTCTATCATAAAATTAGAATTAACTCAAAATATTTAAGAAAGGATTTATAAATTTACATTAGTAAAGCTTTTATAGTGAAACAGTGCTGGTTCTTTTTCATTGTTTTCATACAATCAATATAAAGCATCACAGTCTCAATATGTTTTGTAAAGATATTTTGAAGGAATATCATCTTTGTATGTTTTTTAAAAACCAAGAATCTAAAATTCTTCGTATTTATTATGTTGGTACTTAATTCTGTTGGGTGGGTTCTTTTTGTTTGTTTTTTGTTTTGAGACGGAGTCTCGCTCTGTCTCCCAGACGAGTGCAGTGGCGCGATCTCGGCTCACTGCAACCTCTGTCTCCTGGGTTCAAGCAGTTCTCCTGCCTCACCCTCCCGAGTAGCTGAAACTACAGGCATGTGCCACCACGCCTGGCTAATTTTTTTGTGTTTTCAGTAGGGACGGGGTTTCACCATGTTGGTCAGGCTGGTCTCGATCTCTTGACCTCAAATGATCCTCCCGCCTCGGCCTCCCAAAGTGCTGGGATTACAGGCGTGAGCCACCGCGCCCGGCCGGTGTAGGTTCTTTAGGTGTACACTATCAGTTAAAGTTACTAATTTTCCACGTTTTGCTTTCTGTAAGTTTGGGCAGTGGACCCCGTTTATGCATCATTGCTTAGCCCTTAGTATCTTCTGTATTGTGTACGGTAATCATGTCCGATGGAATCAAAACTAGACTCCTGTGCTTTAAAATTTTCTTTGTAGTGTAACCAATTGTCTGTCTTTATAGTGTAACCAATTGTCTGCCACTTTGTAATGAAAAAAAAAAATACCAGCAAGGCAGTTAATGTGCCTTAGCTACAATTTTAAATATTTTGTGTCTTTTTCCATACATTTAGTATTTAAGCATACAAACATCGATACATAGTATAATGAAAAACTATAAAGTGTGAACTCTATGTAAGCGCTGCCACAGTCAAGAACTAGAACGTCTGTGGCACCTGAGAAGCTCCCCTCTCCATTCTATTCCTGATCATCCCTTTCCTCAATTCTTTTCAGTGGTTAACACTATACTGATTTTTATGGCAATCATTTACTGCTTTCTTTCTTAGTATTTCTTAACCACCTATGTCAGCATTCCTAAGCAATTTAGGTTCGTTTTGCCTGTTTCTTAATTGTATGTAAGTGGATTATATATTACATATCATTATGTATCTTTTTCTCTCATGCAGCTGGGATATAACTCTATTAGTACATTTAGCTCTAGTTCTTATATTGGATTGTAGTAATCTATAGTATAATAAGTATAGTATAAAAAGTCTTAATGGAAATGAGCCACAGTTTAGTCTAATATTAATAAACATTTGGATTGTGTTCCGTTTTTAGTAGTTATGAACAATGCTATTATGAATGTTCTTGTACATGTATTCTTAATGTACATTACCATGGGTTTTTGTAGAGTACGTATGTTTATCTTCAACTTCACTAGTTATGCCTTTTCCAAAGTAGATACACCAATGTATACCCCGACAGCAGTATATGGTAGATCCCTTTACTTTTACTGTCTCACCAAGAGTTATTTTTCCTTTTTCCCAACTTGATGAATGTGGCTTTATCTTATTGTTGTTTTAATTTATTCTGCCCAGGACACTAAAGAGTTTGAGCACTTTTTCAAAAACTTACCGGCTATTTGAATTTCCTCTTTCTAGAATTGTCTTTTTAATTCTTAAATCTTTTGTGCATTGTCTTTTTAAATCTTTTTGGGAGGTTTTTTTGTTTGTTTGTTTTTTGTTTTAATTGGGTTGTCTGTTTTACTCAGGGATTTCTAGCAGTATGGCCAATATCTTCTCTGTGCTTGGAGCATTACTCTCTTCTGGGATGGCAACTTTTATCTTCATGTAGGTCTTATAGGCTGTCATTGTTCTTTGAATTGTATACGTAGTTTAAACTCCAGATAACAAGTTCTATGCTTGTGCTATTCATTGCAGTAGCTACTAGCTGCGTGTGGCTTTTGAGCACTTGAAATGTGGCTAGTATGACTGAGGAACTGAATTTTTAGTTTTATTTAGTGTTCAATTAAGTTTAAAAACTGACACTTGATTCAGTTACTGTAAAACCTGTATGTTTGGAACAACTCGGATACATAAACCTTTCTTAACCGCAAATTATTAAATTATTATTTTTTAATTTTTGGAGATTTTTTCCCCCCTGGAGATGGAGTCTCGCTCTGTTGCCCAGGCTGGAGTCCAGTGGCATGATCTTGGCTCACTGCAACCTCCGCCTCCCAAGTTCAAGTGATTCTCCTGCCTCAGCCTCCCTAGTAGCTGGGATTACAAGCATGTGCCACCACACCTGGCTAATGTTTTTATTTCTAGTAGAGGCAAAGTTTCACCATTTTGGCTAGGCTGGTCTCAAACTCCTGACCTCAAGTGATCCACCCACCTTGGGCTTCCAAAGTGATGGGATCACAGACGTGAGCCACTGCACCCGGCATTAGCTGCAAATTATATAAAAATATAGATCAAGTATTTTATATGGCAGTTTTAATTTAGCATCTGCATTGTAATGTTGTATAAACACCATATTTCAAAGACAGTATGAAAACAATGTAAAATACCTCAGCTTTTCATTATGATTACATGTTGAAATTATAATTGATTTCACCTTGTTTTCTTTTAGTGTGAACAATAGAAAATTTTAAATTACTTATGTCACTTTTACTGTATTGCTGCTGGACAGTACTTTGAGCTAGATGTTCCTATGTGTTTACCATGTCTTAATTTCTTCCTGCGTCTCTGACTTTTCTTTTGGAATCTTTTAACTTTTACTTTAGCACACTCAGTAGAAGTTTCATAATGCAGACATTCTGATGGTCAGTTCTCTTAATTTTTTTGCTTTGTCTTAATTTTTTGTTTTGCCTTCAATCTTGAAGAATGTTTTGGGGGATATTACAGATTTGTGGTTGTTTTACTTGTACCTTGAAGATAACATTTCACTGTTTTTGGTTTTCATTATTGATTTTGAGAAATCAGCTGTCAATGCATTAGGTTGGTACAAAAGAAATTGTGGTTTGGGACAGCGAATTTTAAATCATTATAACGAGGCTCTAACATATCTTTATTAATTAAAATAGGTCATTACAATCAACACATTTTTGCCGACAAGAAATAAGTTTGTTTTTTCCTGTAATGTAAAAATCCATGCTTCAGGATTCCACAAACTCTTGGAAAGCTTTTTCCTGCATCCTGCTGGTTGTGGAAGCATTTTCCCTGAAAAAAGTTGTAGAGATGCTTGAAGGAGTGGTAGTCAGTTGAGAGGTCAGGTGAATATGGCAGATGAGGCAAAACTTTGTAGCCCAGTTCGTTCAACTTTTGAAGTGTTGGTTGTGCAGTGTGCGGTTGGGTGTTACTGTGGAGAATTGGGCCCTTTCTGTTGACCCATGCTGGCTGCAGGCATCACAGTTTTAAGTGCATCTCATTGATTTGCTGAGCATACTTCTCAGATGTAATGGTTTCTCCAGGATTCAGAAAGCTGTAGTGGATCAGACCGGCAGCAGACCAGCAAACAGTTACCATGGCCTTTTTTGGTGCAAGTTTGGCTTTGGGAAGTGCTTTGGAGCTTCTTCGCGGTCCAGCCACTGAGCTGGTCATTGCTTGTCATATAAAATCTAGTTTTTGTTGCACCTCACAGTCCGATTGAGAAATGGTTCGTTGTTGTGGAGAATAAGAGAAGACAACACTTCAAAACGGTGTTTTTTTAAATTTTTGCTCAGCTGGTGAGGCACCCACTTATCGAGCTTTTTCACCTTTTCAATTTGCTTCAAATACTGAACAACTGTGGAATGGTTGACGTTGAGTTCTTACGTTGAGTTCTTCAGCAACTTCTCATGTAATTGTAAGAGGATCAATCTGCTTCAATGATTGCTCTCAATTGGTTGTTGTCAACTTCCAGTGGCCTGCCACTACACTCCTCATCCTCAAGGCTCTGGTATCTTTTGCAAAACTTCTTGAACCACCACTGCACTGTACGTTCATTAGCAGTTCCTGGGCCAAATGCATTGTTGATATTGCAAGTTGTCTCTGCTGTTTTACGACCCACTTTGAACTTAAATAAGAAAATCACTCAACTTTGCTTTTTGTCTAGCATCATTTCCATAGTCCAAAATAAATATAAACAGCAAGTAATAAGTCATTAGCCAAAAAAAAAAAGCAAGAAATGCCCATTAAAATGACATATAACATAACCACATTTATTTAAGAATGTATTCCAGGCCGGGTGTGGTGGCTCACACCTGTAATCCCAGCACTTTGGGAGGCTGAGGTGGGCGGATCACGAGGTCAGGAGATCGATACCATCCTGGCTAACATGGTGAGACCCTGTCTCTACTAAAAATACAAAAAATTAGCCAGGCGTGGTGGCGGGTGCCTGTAGTCCCAGCTACTCAGAAGGCTGAGGCAGGAGAATGGTGTGAACCCTGGAGGCAGAGCTTGCAGTGAGCCGAGATCGCGCCACTGCAGCCCAGCCTGGGCAACAGAGAGAGACTCCATCTCAAAAAAAAAAAAAAAAAAAAAAAAATTCCAATATCAAATGGCAAATTCCAACAATGCAAAAACCACAATTAATTTTGTACCAACCTAATAATTCATGCTGCTTTGAAGGAAATCTCTCTTTTAGAATTTTTTTTTGTTTGTTTCTTTTTTTGGTTGTAATTTTTCTGCTGTTTCACTCTAATCTTTTTGTGTGGAATTCTTTTCTTCTTTTTTTTTTTTCTCCTAGTCAAGTGTGGTTGTGGGGGTAGAGGAAATGTTCAATCATCGTGTGGCATTCTTTATCTTGCCCTGTATTCATCGAGATTATTAGATCAATGCATCAGTATCTTTTTAAAGATATTGGTGATATTCTTACTGTTTCTGGTTACCTGCTGAAAATTACAATCTTGCTTTTATTGGCCTAGTATAGTTGCTCCTTAGTATCTGCTGGAAATTGGTTTCAGAACCCCGTGCAGATACCACAATCCACAGGCAGCTCAAATTCCTTATATAACATGCCATCATGTTTGCATACGGCCTACACACATCCTCCCACGTATTTTAAATAATCTCTAGATTGCTTATGGTACCTAATACAATGTAGATGCTATGTAAATATTGTTATACTGTCATGGCTTTTTAAAAATTTCTATTATTTTTTATAGTCGTGTTTTTAAAAATATACATGTATTTTTAATCCTTGGTTGAGTGAATCTGTGGCTATGAAGGGCCGACTATATTCATAGTTCATTTGTTGTTTGTTGAAGATAATTCCAGTTTCTAAATTTTCTAAGTCTGTGTCTGCTAGCTTATGATATTTTTTTCTTGTGTGCCTTGAGTACCAGTTGTATTTAAAAAATTATAGGAATATATGAGTCCTAGAATAATAGTATCTTTTTTAAGAAGGTACATTTTTCTAGGAAAGGTCTCTAGGAGTGCTTTCAGTCCCAAGTCACTATTCATGTTCAAGAGTTGGGATTCCTTCTGTTATACACATGACATTAAGGAAGACTTTAAGATCATGAATTCTATTTTCCTTCAATTTCCTCTTATCCTAATGATGTTGTCCTTAAACTCTGAACATAAATTGGGTAGTTTATCTGAGTCCCCAGCTTTGTTAGGCAATGTGCTTTTATTTTTATTTTTGATTTTGATTTTTTGTGTTTATTTTTATTTTAAATGAGGTCTCGCTGTATTGCACACAATCATCCTGAATTCCTGGGCTCAAGCTATCCTCCTGCCTTGGCCTGTCAAAGGATAGGATTACAGGCATGAGCCACCACACCTGGCCTTGTGCTTTGATTTTTTTACCATAGACCGGCACATCTTCCATTAGCTCAGCCTTTTTTCTCAGCCTTTTCTTCTAGACAGGAAAATGTCCTCAGAACAAAAGTTACTTGGTGTATGGTTTGTTTCTGGTTTACCTTCACATGGAATTTGGTAAGTAATTTCACATTACTTTATTTCATTCATTATTTAGTTTTTTTGTTGGCGTCAGCAGAAAGGTTGGTCCTGTCTGCCACTACCATAAATAAAACCCTAATTGTCTTTCTTTTTTACTTCTGAGATTTGATTTTAATATATTTATGCTTTGAGCCAAAATTTTTTTAACTTAACTCATATATTTAAAAATTTTAATTTTTAATTACTATGGATACATAAAATGGGGAGTATGTGATATTTGATATAAGCATACAATGTGTAATGATCAAATCAGGTAATTGGGATATCCATTACCTCAAGTATTTGTCATTTCTTTGTGTTAGGGACATTTCATTTCCACTCATTTAATTGTTCTAAAACATACACTAAATTATTGTTAGCTGTAATTACTATATTGTGCTACTGAACACTATATTTTATTCCTTCTATCTAACTATATTTTTCTACCCATTAACCATCTCCTCTTGATTCTCCTCTCAACACTACCCTTCCCAGCCTCTGCTAACATCTTTTTACTCACTATCTCTATGACTTCAATTTTTTTGAAGCTTCCACATATGGGTGAGAACATGTGATACTTGTCTTTCTATGCCTGGCTTATTTCCCTTATAATGTCAGTCACATCCATATTGTTGAAAATGACAGGATTTCATTTTTTTTTTATGGCTGAATAACATTCCATTGTGTATATGTACCACATTTCTTTATCCATCCATTGATTGACAGTTAGGTTGATTCCATATCCTGGCTATTGTGTATAGTGCTGCAGTTAACATGGGAGTACAGATACCTTTTATATACTGATTTCCTTTCTCTTGGGTATATACACAGTAGTGGGATTGCTGGATTATAGTTCTATTTGTTGTGTTTTTAGGAAGCTCCATACTGTTCTCTGTTGTGACTGTGCCAGTTTACATTTCCACCAACAGTGTACAAGGGTTCCCCTTTCTCCACATTCTCACCAGCATCTGATATTGACTGCCTTTTCGATAAAAGCCATTTTAACTGGAGTGAGTTGATACCTCATTATAGTTTTGATTTGTATTTCTCTGATTATTAATAATGTGGAACATTTTTTTCATATGCCTGTTTGCCATTTGTATGTCTTTTTGAGAAATGTCTCCTCAGATCTTTTGCCCATTTTAAAATCAGATTTTTTTTTCCTATTGAGTCGTTTGAGATTCTTATATATTCTGGTTATTAATCCTTTGTCAGATATTAGTTTGAAATATTTTCTCCCATTCTACATGTTATATCTTCATTTTATTGTTTTCATTGCTGTGCAGAAGCTTTTTGGCTTGGAGAGATCTCATTTGTTGTTATTTTATTTTATTTTCTTGCTTTAGTTGCTTGTGTTTTTGAGGTCTTATTTAAGAAGTCTTTGCCTAGACCAATGTCCTGGAGTTTTTGCCTAATGGTTTCCTTGATTAGTTTCATAGATGTAAGTCTTTAATGCATTTTTCTTTGATTTTTGTATATGGCAAGAGTTGGGGTCTACTTTTGTTGTTCTGAATGTGGGCATCCAGTTTTCCCAACACCATTTATTGAAGAGACTGTCCTTTCCCAATGAGTGTTTTTGGCACCTTAGTAAAAAACTAATTGGCTTTAAATACACAGATTAATTTCTGGACTCTCTGTTCTGTTGTTCTACATGTCTGTTTTTATGCCACTATCGTGCTATTTTGGTTACTATAGCGTTGTAGTATATTTTGAGGTTTGGTAGTGTGGTAAGTCTACCAGTTACCAGCTCTGTTCTTTTTGGTCAGGATTGTTTTGGCTATTTGGGGTCTTTTGTGCTTCCATACAATTTTAGGATTTTTTTTTTCTATTTCTGTGAAGAATGTCATTGCTCTTGATAGGGATGGCTTTGAATCTGTAGATTGCTGTGGGAAGTATTGTCATTTTAACAATACAATTTTTTTCAACCCATGAGCATGGGATGTCTTTTCATTTGTTTGTGTCCTCTTCAATTAATTTCATCAATGTTTGATAGTTTGCATTGTAGTTGGTTAAGTTTATTTCTAGATATTTAATATTATTTGTAGCTATTGTAAATGGGATCACCTTCTTGATTTCTTTTTCAGATAGGTTGTCACTGTTGGCATAGAGAAATTCTATGGATTTTTGTGTGTTGATTTTGTATTCTGCAATGTTACTGAATTTATTAGTTCTAATAGTCGTTTGTTGGAGTCTTTAGGTTAGTATAAGATCACATGAGCTGCAAACAATGATAATTTTACTTACTCCTTTCCAATTTAAATGCCCTTTATTTCATTCTCTTGTCTGTTTACTCTGGCTAGGACTTCTGTTACTAACTTGAGTAATAGTGGTGAAAGTGCCCATCCTTCTTCTAGATCCTAGAATAAAGGCTTTCAGTTTTTCCCCCATTCAGTCTGATACTAACTGTGGGTTTGTTGTGTATGGCTTTATCATGTTGAGGGATGATCCTTCTGTCCCCAGTTTGCTGAGAGTTTTTATGAAGGGATATTGAATTTTATCAAAAAAGATTTTTTTGGCATCTATTGAAATGACAATACACTTTGTGTCCTTCATTCTGTTGATACCATGTATCACACTGATTGATTTACATATGTTGAACCATCCTTACATCCCTGGGATGAATCCCACTTGATTATGATGATCTTTTTAATGTGCTGTTGAATTTGGTTTGCTGTGTTTTGTTGAAGATTTTTATATCTATTTTCATCAGAGATACTGGCCTGTAGTTTCTTTTTTGTTGTTGTTGTATCGTTGTCTGGTTTTGGTATCAGAATAAATCTGGGGCCAGGCATGGTAGCTCACGCCAGTAATCCCAGAACTTTGGGAGGCTGAGGCAGGCAGATCTCTTGAAGCCAGGAGTTTGAGACCAGCCTGGCCGACATGGTGAAACCCCATCTCTACAAAAAATACAAAAATTAGCTGGGCATGGTGGCTTATGCCTGTAATCCCAGCTAATCTGGAGGCTGAGGCAGGAGAATCGCTTGAACCCAGTAGGTGGAGGTTGCAGATCACCTGGGCAACAGAGTGAGACTCTGTCTCAAAAAAAAAAAAAAAAAAAAAAAGAATAAATCTGGCCTCATAAAATGAATTTGGAGATCCTCCTTGATTTTGGAGAATGATTTGAGTAGGATTGATGTTAGTTCTTCTTTAAATGTTTGGTAGAACTCAGTGAAGCCATGAAGTCCTGGCCTTTTCTGTGATGGGGGACTTTTTATTATTGTTTCTATCTTGAAACTTATTATGGGTCTATTTCGATTTTGGTTTTCTTAATGTTTCATTCTTCTTAGGCTGTATGTGCCTAGGAATTTATTCGTTTCTTCTAGGTTTTACAATTTATTGGCATGCAGTTGTTCAAATGGTCTCCAATGATCCTTTGAATTTTTGTGATATCAATTGTAATGTCTCCTTTTTTGTCTCTGATTTTATTTGGATCTTCTTTTTTTTCTTTTCTTAGTCTGGGTAAAGGTTCATTGATTTTGTCTGTCTTTCCAAACAACCCTTTTCATTTCATTGATCTTTTCTATTTTTTTGTCTCAATTTTATTTCTGTTTTTTATTATTTATTTTCTTGTTTTCTTTATTATTTCTCTTCTTAATTTGGGGCTTGGCATGCTCTTGCTTTTCTAGTTCTTTAAGATGCATTACTAGGTTGTTTATTTCTTGGTTTTCTACTTTTTGATTTGCACATTTATTGCTATAAACATTCCCTTTAGTGTTAGCTTTAACTGTATCTCATAAGTTTTAGTAGGTTGTGTTTCCATTTTCATTTGTTTCAAGACATTTTTTAATTTCCTTAATTACTTCATTGGTTGTTCAGGCACGTATTGTTTAATTCTTATATGTTTGTATAGTTTCCA
The DNA here is from genome assembly GCF_000001405.40 of Homo sapiens. Taxonomy (NCBI): domain Eukaryota; kingdom Metazoa; phylum Chordata; class Mammalia; order Primates; family Hominidae; genus Homo; species Homo sapiens. The sequence continues at coordinate 148,010,054 of NC_000002.12, read as the reverse complement.
AAGTTCCACTTGTTATTTATTTCTACTTTTATTCCATTGTGGTTAGAAAATATACTTTTTATCAGACTTGTTTTGCGGCCTAACATGATGGTGCTCTTTTTGGATTTCTGTTTGCATGCAATGTCTCTTTCCATCTTTTGGTCTATCTATGTTTTTATAAATGAAGTGGGTTTCTTATATGTAGCAGGTAGTAGGGCCTTGTTTTGTTTAGCCCTTCAGCTCTTCTGTGTCTTTTGATTGGAGAATTTAGGATCCATCCTTGAGAAATGTTCCATGTGCTAAGGAGAAGAATGTATTCTGCGGCTGTTGGATGACAGCTTCTGTAAATGTCTATTAGGTCCATTTAATCTATAGTGCAGATTAAATTCATTGTTTCTTTCTGTCTAGATGATCTGTCCAATGGTGAAAGTGGGCTGTTGAAGTCCCAAGTCATTACTGTATTGGGTTCTGTCTCCTTAACTCTAATACACTTGACTCTATATATCTAGATGCTTCTGTGTTGGATAGATATGTATTTATAATTTTTATGTCCTCTTGCTGAATTAAAACCTTTTGTATTATATGATAACCTTTTTTTCTTTCTTCATAGTTTTTATGTTGAAATCTATTTTATCTAAAAATAGATACAAAGCTACTTGGGCTCTTTTTGGGTTTCTGTTTGGTGCAGTATCTTTTTCCGTCTTTTTGTTGTTAGTCTATGTTTTTATAGTGAAGAATTTAGTCCATTCACATTCAGTATTATTATTGATAGGTAAGGACTTACTACTGCCTTTTTATTGTTGTTCTGGTTATTTTCTAGGGCTTTTCCCCCATTTTTTTCCTTGTTTTCCTTTGTGATAATTATTTTTTGGTAGTATGTTTTAATTTCTTGCTTTTTATTTTTTTGTGCACCTATTAGAGGTTTTTGTTTTGTGGTTACTATGAGGTTAGCAAATAACAATTTATAGCCAATTATTTGCAACTGATGACAACTCTGATTGCAAAGAAAAGAAAAAATACACGCACAGAAAAAACTAAAAACCTGTACACTTCTACTCCATCCCTTCACTTTTTGACTTTTTGTCTCTATATATTTTTATATTTTAAGTTTTGGAGTAGTTTTTTTTTGATAGTGTTATATAGAAAGTTTCGATGCTGCAAAAGAAATAGCACTCGAATACAAAATTTTCTTTTTAATATTCAGCAAGGCAAGCTACTTCTATATAGAAGGGTGCACCCTTACAGATGGAACAATGGTGAGCGCACATTTGGACAAGGGATGGGAAGGGGTTCTAATCCCTGACGTATGTGGCCCCTGCTGCTCTGTCGTTCCCCTATTGGCTGGGGTTAGACCGCACGGGCTAAACTAATTCCAATTGGCTAATTTAAAGAGAATGACAGGGTGAATGCTTTGGCGGGAGTCAGGGCAGAGCAGGTAGCAGGTAATTGGAATGAGTTAGGGTGGAGCAGGTGATTGGAATGTTGGGTGGAGCAGATGATCAGAATGAGTCAGGGTGGAGTAGGTAATCGAAAAAGGTTGCTTTACGAGGAAGTTAAGTTTAAAACTAGAAGGCAAAGAATTGAACATACTGACACACTAATTCTTTGAAAAGAAATTTAGAACTCATATCTAACAATCCCTCCCCTTGTATTTCCTTACAGCTTTCTTTTCAAACTTTTCTTAACATGTCTTGGCTTAGTTGTTTTGCTTGATTTTCTAAAAGAAGAAGGTTCTCTAGATAAGGTAGAGTTTAGAACTCTTCTAACAATATAGGTTTGTCTTTTAATCTTCCTGCTAAAGATATGAGCGGTTAGAGTATTCTGTATTTATCTGTGCACTTACTTTCACCAGTGAGTTTTATACCTTCAGATGATTTCTTGTTGCTTGTTAATGTCCTTTTCTTTCAGATTGAAGAACTTCCCTTTAGCATTTTCTGAAAGATGAGTCTGGTGTTGATGAAATCCCTCAGCTTTTATTAGTCTAGGAGAGTCTTCATGTCTCCCTGTTTCAAGGATAATTTCGGTGGATGTATTAGATTGGTGCAAAAGTTAACGTGGTTTTTGCCATTAAAAGTAATTACAAAAACCGTGGTTACTTGTGCACCAACCTAATACTATTCTACTCTCTTCTGGCCTGCCAGGGTTTCTGCTAAAGTTTGTCATCCTACTCTCTTCTGGCCTGTAGCGTTTCTGCTGAAGTTTGCTGCCAGATGTAGTATAACTCCTTCATATGAAGTTACTTCTTTTCTTTTGCCGCTTTTAGGATCCTTTCTTTGTCCTTTACTTTTGAGACTTTAATTATTATATGCCTTAAGGTAATCTTATTTGGGTTGAATCTATTTGGTGTTCTTTGACCTTCTTGTACCTGTATATTCATATCTTTCTCTCAGTTTGAAAAGTACTCTGCTATTATTTCTTTGAAAACACTTTCTACCTCAATCTCTTTCTGTAAGCCCTCTTTAAGGCCAGTAACTCTTAGATTATGACTTTTGGGGGCTATTTTCCAGATTTTGTAGGCATACTTCATTATTGTTTTATTATTTTTTCTCTTCTGACTGTATTTTCATAAACCTGTCTTCAAGCTCACTAATTTATTCTTCTGCTGTTGAGACTGATGCATTTTCAGCTTGTTGAATTTTCGAGCTTCAGAATTTCTGCTTGTTCATCATTTTAGTCTCTTTGTTAAGTTTCTCTGATATAATTCTGAATTTTTTATCTCTTTTATCTTGAATTAAATTGAGCTTTCTCAAGACCGCTATTTTGAATTTCCCATCTAAAAGGTCACGTATCTTTATTGCTCCAGGATTAGTCTGTTTGGTGAGGTCCTGTTTTCCTAGATGTTCTTGATAATTGTGGATATTCATTGATGTCTAGGCATCGAAGAGCTAGTCTTCACAGTTTGGGTTTGTTCATTCCTGTCACTCTCCAGGGGGCTTTCCAGGAAATCAAAGCAGATTGAGTGTTGTGACCTAAGCCTGTAGTCACTGCAGCCATTTTGGCATTAAGGAGCATCCAAAGCACAGGAACGCTGTGAGTCTTGCAGACTCCTACATACACAGTCCTGATGGACTTGGGAAGATAATTGGGAGAATTCCCTGGGTTACCAGGCAGAGTCTCTTGCTCTCTACCTTCCCTTTCCTTCAATCAGGAGTCTTTCTCTGTACTGGCCTGCCCAGTGTTGGTGGGGGGTGATACAGGCATTCCTGTAGCCACCACAGTTGGAACTATGCTGAGTTGCCTCTGAAGCATTGCAGACCAGCACAGTATTGGGGCTCACCCAAGGTCCACGGCCAGTCCTGCGTGACTGCCACTGGTTATTCAAGGCCAAAGGCCACTTTAGTTAGCAGGTGGTGAATTCTGCCAAGACTGAGTCCATCCCATCATGGCAGCCATTCCCTTCCTGCCTAGGGTCAATCTATAAATGCCATCCCGGAGCAAAAGCTTGCTATCAAAAGCTTCAGAAATCTGTCTTTTGCTTTATTTTACTGTGACTGAACCAATACTCCGGTTGCAAAACAAAGTTCTGTCTACTCTTCCTTTTCCTTACCCCAAGCTGAAGTAGTTGGGGAGGGGTGCCTCAGGGATTCCCTTAGCTGCCACGGGTGGTATTGCACTGGGTTTTATCTTAAGTCCATTACCTCCAAGGCCAGTGCAGTACCAAGGCTTGCCAAAGGATGCAGTCCTTGTGGCCTGTCACTCCAATTTATTCCGGGCCCTAGACTACTTTAGTCAGAATGTGATGAAAACCAATTACTCTCCTTGGGGGGAGGATTTCTCTCTGGCCCAGGACTAAGCTAAATGCTCCTTCTGTGGGCACCAGCAGAATGCCCTGTGTTGTGTTCTGCTGTTACAGAGCAGCACTGAGTTCCAGCGCAAAGTCCCATACTTACTTTCGCTCTCTCTCCCAAGCACACAGATTCTATCTCAGTGCTGTGCTGCCTGGGGTTGGAGGAGGGTTGGTGTAGTCAGCGCAAGACTGTCTTTCCTACCCTCTTCGATGCTTCTTTCCTTGATATTATGTTAAAACCAGGTGCCGTGATTACTCACCTGATTTTGGATTTTTTGTTTGTTTGTTAGTGTGTTTATTTGTTTGTTTTGAGGCAGGGTCTCACTCTGTCACCCAGGCTGGAGTGCATGGCGTGATCTCAACTCATTCCAGCCTCAATTGACCTCCTGGGCTGAAGTGATCCTCCCACCTCAGCCTCCCGAGTAGCTGGCACTACAGGCACATGCCACCATGCCCAGCTAATTTTTTCATATTTTGTAAAGACAGGGTTTCATCAGGTTGCCCAGACTGGTCTTGAACTGAGATCAAATGATCCACTCGCCTTGACCTTCCAAAGTGCTGAGATTATGGGCATGTACCACTGTGCCAGCTGATTCTTATGAAGGTTGTTTTTTTTTTTTTTTTTTTTTTTTGCATGGATAGTTGTTCAGTTTGGTGTTCCTGCTACGGGATGATTCCTGGGGGATTCTCTTCAGCAATCTTGTTCTGCCTCCTCTGCAAGGAAAAACAATGTCTATTTTAAATTTTTCTTTTTTATTATAATTTAAGTTCTGGGATACATGTGCAGAACATGTAGGTTTGTTACATAGGTATACACGTGTCATTAACCTGTCATCTACATTAGGTATTTTTCCTAATGCTATCCCTCCCTTAGCCCCCCCATCCCCCAGCAGGCCCCAGTGTGTGATGTTGCCCTCCCTGTGTCCATGTGTTCTCATTGTTCAGCTCCCACTTATGGGAACATGCGTTGTTTGGTTTTCTGTTCCTGTATTAGTTTGCTGAGAATAATGGTTTCCAGCTTCATCCGTGTCCCTGCAAAGGACATGAACTCATCCTTTTTTATGGCTTCATAGTATTCCATGGCGTATATGTGCCACATTTTCTTTATCTGGTCTATCATTGAAGGACATTTGGATTGGTTCCAAGTCTTTGCTATTGTGAACAGTGCTGCAATAAACATACGTATGCATGTGTCTTTATAGTAGAATGATTTATAATCCTTTGGGTATATACCCAGTAATGGGATTGCTGGGTCAAATGGTATTTCTGGTTCTAGATCCTTGAGGAATCGCCACATTGTCTTCCACAATGGTTTAACTAATTTATGTTCCCACCAACAGTGTAAAAGCGTTCCTGTTTTTCCACATCCTCTCCAGTATCTGTTGTTTCCTGACTTTTTAATGATCACCATTCCAGCTGGCATGAGATGGTATCTCATTGTGGTTTTGATTTCCTTTTCTGTCATGACCAGTAATGATAAGCTTTTTTTCACATGTTTGTTGGCCACATAAATGTCTTCTCTTGAGAAGTGTCTGTTCGTATCCTTTTGTTGCCATTGCTTTTGGTGTTTTAGTCATGAAATTTTTGCCCATGCCTATGTCCTGAATGATATTGCCTAGGTTTTCTTATAGAGTTTTTATGGTTTTAGGTCTTATGTTTTAGTCTTTAATCCATTTTTGTATAAGGTGTAAGGAAGGGGGGGCCAGTTTCAGTTTTCTCCATATGGCTAGCCAGTTTTCCCAACACCATTTATTAAATAGGGAGGGAATCCTTTCCCAATTGCTTGTTGTCATCAGGTTTTTCAAAGATCAGATGGTTGTTGTTGATGTATGGTGTTATTTCTGAGGACTCTGTTCTGTTCCATTGGTCTGTATATCTGTTTTGGTACCAGTACTATGCTGCTTTGGTTACTGTAGCCTTATAGTATAGTTTGAAGTCAGGTAGCGTGATGCCTCCAGCTTTGTTCTCTTTGCTTAGCATTGTCTTGGCTTATGCGGGCTCTTTTTTGGTTCCATATGAAATTTAAAGTAGTTTTTTTTCTAATTCTGTGAAGAAAGTCAGTGGTAGCTTGATGGGTTTAGCATTGAATCTATAAATTACTTTGGGCGGTGTGGCCATTTTCATGATATTGATCCTTCCTATCCATGCGCATGGAATGTTTTTCCATTTGTTTGTGTCCTCTCTTATTTCCTTGAGCAGTGGTTTGTAGTTCTCCTTGAAGCGGTCCTTCACATCCCTTATAAGTTGTATTCCTATGTATTTTATTCTCTTTGTAGGAATTGCGAATGGGAGTTCACTCATGACTTGGCTCTCTGTTTGTCTATTATTGGTATATAGGAATGCTTGTTATTTTTGCACATTGATTTTGTATCCTGACACTTTGCTGAAATTGCTTATCAGCTCAAGGAGATTTTGGGCTGAGACAACAGGGTTTTCTAAATATACAATCATGTCATCTGCAAACAGACAATTTGACTTCCTCTCTTCCTATTCAAATACCTTTTATTTCTTTCTCTTGCCTGATTGCCCTGGCCAGAACTTCCAATACTATGTTGAATAGGAGTGGTGAGAGAGGGCATCCTTTTCTTGTGCCGGTTTTCAAAGGGAATGCTTCCTGTTTTTGCCCATTCAGTGTGATATTGGCCGTGGGTTTGTCATAAATAGCTCTTATTATTTTGAGATACGTTCTATCGATTCTTAGTTTATTGAGAGTTTTTAGCATGAAGGGGTGTTGAATTTTGTCGAAGGCGTTTTCTACATCTATTGAGATAATCGTGGTTTTTCTCATTGGTTCTGTTTATGTGATGGATTACATTTATTGATTTGCATATGTTGAACCAGCCTTGCATCCCAGGGATGAAGCCAACTTGATCATGGTGGATAAACTTTTTGATGTGCTGCTGGATTCAGTTTGCCAGCATTTTATTGAGGATTTTTGCATTGATGTTCATCAGGGATATTGGCCTGGAATTTTCTTTTTTTGTTGTGTCTCTGCCAGATTTTGGTATCAGGATGATGCTGGACTCATAAAATGAGTTAGAGAGGAGTCCCTCTTTTTCTTTTATTTGGAATAGTTTCAGAAGGAATGGTACCAGCTCCGCTTTGTACCTCTGGTAGAATTTGTCTGTGAATCCATCTGGTCCTGGGCTTTTTTTTGGTTGGTAGGCTATTAATTACTGCCTCAATTTCAGAACTTGCTATTGGTCTATTTAGGGATTCGACTTCTTCCTGGTTTAGTCTTGGGATGGTGTCTGTGTCCAGGAATTCATCCATTTCTTCTAGATTTTCTAGTTTATTTGTGTAGAAGTGTTTATAGTATTCTCTGATGGTAGTTTGTATTTCTGTGGGATCAGTGGTGATATCCCCTTTATCATTTTTTATTGTGTCTATTTGATTCTTCTCTCTTTTCTTTATTAGTCTGGCTAGCGGTCTACCTATTTTGTTAAAGTTTTCAAAAAAGCAGCTCCTGGATTCATTTATTTTTTTGAGGGGGTTTTTGTGTCTCTATCTCCTTCAGTTCTGCTCTGGTCTTAGTTATTTCTTGTCTTCTGCTGGCTTTTGAATTTGTTTGCTCTTGCTTCTCTAGTTTTTTTAATTGTGATGTAAGGGTGTTGGTTTTAGATCTTTTCTGCTTTCTTCTGTGGGCATTTAGTGCTATAAATTTCCCTCTACACACTGCTTTAGCTGTGTCTCAGAGATTCTGGTACATTGTGTCTTTGTTCTCATTGGTTTTAAAGAATGTATTTATTTCTGCCTTAATTTTGTTATTTACCCAGTATTCATTCAGGAGCAGGTTGTTCAGTTTCCACATAGTTGTGCAGTTTTGAGTGAGTTTCTTAATCCTGAGTTCTAATTTGATTGCACTATGGTCTGGGAGACTGTTTGTTATGACTTCATTCTTTTGCCTTTGTTGAGGAGTGTTTTACTTCCAATTATGTGGTCAATTTTAGAATAAGTGCGATGTGGTGCTGAGAAGAATGTATATTCTGTTGATTTGGGGTGGAGAGTTCTGTAGATGTCTATTAGGTCCACTTGGTCCATAGCTGAGTTCAAGTCCTGAGTGTCCTTGTTAATTTTCTGTCTTGTTGATCTGTCTAATATTGACAGTGGGGTGTTAAAGTCTCCCACTGCTATTGTTGTGGGGGGGTCTAAGTCTCTTTGTAGGTCTCTAAGAACTTGCTTTATGAATCTGGGTGCTCCCTTATTGGGTGCATATATATTTAGGATAGTTAGCACTTCTTTTTGCATTGATAACTTTGTCATTATGTAATGTCCTTCTTTGTCTTTTTTTATCTTTGTTGGTTTAAAGTCTGTTTTATCAGAGACTAGGATTGCAACCCCTGCTCTTTTTTGCTTTCCATTTGCTTGGTAAATATTCCTCCATCCCTTTATTTTGAACCTTTGTGTGTCTTTGCAAGTGAGGTGGGTCTCTTGAATATAGCACACCGATGGGTCTTGACTCTTTATCCAATTTGCCAGTCTGTGTCTTTTAATTGGGCCAGTTAGCCCATTTACATTTAAGGTTAATATTGTTATGTGTGAATTTGGTACTATCATTATGATGCTAGCTGGTTATTTTGCCCGTTAGTTGATGTAGTTTCTTCATAGTGTCAATGGTCTTTACAATTTGGTATGTTTTTCCAGTGGCTGTTACCAGTTTTTCCTTTACATATTTAGTGCTTCCTTCAGGAGCTCTTGTAAGGCAGGCCTGGTGGTGACAAAATCTGTCAGCATTTGCTTGTCTATAAAGGATTTTATTTATCCTTCACTTATGAAGCTTAGTTTGGCTGGATATGAAATTCTGTGTTGAAAATTCTTTTCTTTAAGAATGTTGACTATTGGCCCCTACTCTCTTCTGGCTTATAGGGCTCCTGCAGAGAGATCCGTTGTTAGTCTGATGGGCTTTAAATTTCTAAAATAACATTCGGCTCTGCAGTATAAGAAGCCAAGTTAATGAAATTAGAAAATATATTTAAGCAGCCTGTTTCTTCTCTTTCTCTTTTTCTTTTAACTGTTGCAAAGGTAAAAGAACACATGCTTAAGTTTTTAACTGCTTCTCCATAGCTTATGATTAAAAACAGTTCTTACTTCTTTGTCACAGGTTAGGTTCTCCAGAATATTTTCCTTCAGATTGATACCATGGTGCAACGAAATGATTGGGCCTTTATCGCCTTATTTGCTTAATCCCAGGAAGGCTGTGATGTTGGACAAGGTAGCTGTCACTACCCCAGTTTTCCCCAAATAGAGGGAAATACTTCTAAAACTTTTTTTGGCTTATTCTTTTGGTATATACTTCTGTATCTCTAAATAACATTTTATATTGCTACCTCCTGTTTTTTCAGTTTTAGGCATTATCTCTTGACTTACTATAGGTGATGTAGATTTAGCCTTTTTCCACAAACATCCCATCCATTCCCCCCATCTTCCCATTGATAGTTTAATTTTTCATATACGACCATTGAGCATTTGTATAGTTCTAAATATTTATTAGTCATTTAGACCCAAACTATCTGCTGGTTGTCAAAACAGCCTTTCCATATATTCAGAGGTATCAAGTATTTTTATCAGTTTATCCATCATCAAGAAATTTCTCCCAGAGCATTCTTATGTGCTGCAGTTTTAGCCCATTGCTTGATATAGTTGCTGCTGGTGCAGTCTCTATCCTATGCTAGTTCCTCTGTTTCCTATATCCTATGTAATCCTTTGGCTTGTGTATTCTCTTGGTTTATTCCATTTTCTAGTAGCTTTCTGAAAGGCAAGTGTTCTGTGGTATTATATTTATATAAGTGTCTTTATTTTACCCCAACTATTAGTTTAGCTGGCTTTCAAATTATAAAGGTGAAATTGTTCTTAAGAGCTTTGAAGGAATTCATAGCATCTGTTGTAAAATTAGAAGCCCTTCTTACTTCCATCACTCTTCAGATCACTTTTGTCTCCTCTGTGGAAGATTATACGATCTCATTTTGAAACTTATCAAATGTTTCTCTTTGTTGTATCTAGAGTTCTGAAATGTCACAGCCATGTTACTTATTATGAGTCTATAGTCTTTCATTTTGCCATGCATTTTATGGGTCCTTTCAGTCTGACAATTTGTGTCCATCAACTCTGGGAAAATTCCTCATGTTTTTTCTTTAATTTTCTTGCCTTTGTTTTTGGTTCTGGAACTCTAATTAAACATTCTACCTCCTGGACCTATTTTTTTTCTGTCATTTTTTATGTTTTTTTTTTCTTCATACTTTCTGGAAAATTTACCTTTTTCAAACTTTTGAGACTTTGATTTCTGCTATCATACTTTTAATTTCCAAGGCCTTTTTTGATCTCTGTATAATTTTCTTATTATATCCTGTTATGTTTTCTTTTTATGAATTAAAATTATTGTTTGGTTTTGAAATTTATTGCTTCCTGCTTTCTCTACTTTTTCCAAATTATTCTTTCTGTTAATATGTTTTCATCTTTTTAATCGAGGCTTTCCTCAGCTATGTAGCAATCATTGATTGCATGTTCAAATTTATGTTAGATTCATTAGAAAGCTATTTTAGAGCTCTGTGAATATGGCTGGGCATTTTGTGGGTGGAAACCCCTGGTGTCATTATCTTTAAGTTTGGAAACCTTTTTTCTAGGGTTAATAAGAGTCTAATAAGAAGAGTTCTCCAAGCTTCTGCCTTTAGGTCAGTGATTCTCAAGTGGGACAATTTGGCCCCCTAAGAGAAATTTAGCAGTGTCTAGAGACTTATTTGATTGCCACAGATAGGTTGCTCCTGAAAACTGATGCATAGAATCTGGGGGTCTTGTTACATCCTACAGTGCATAGGACAGCTCCAACAACGAAGAACAATCAAGTTTAAAATGTTATCCTGAGAAACCCTGCTTTAGGGTATAAGTCTGATTGCCAGTAGTATGAGAACTATGTGAAAGAAGAGAGCTAGGGGGCCTCAACGTTCAATATATAAACACTCTCTTAATCCTCTCCTCCCCCTCAAAACCTTTTTGTCTGATACCCTCACCTTCTGCTGTGTCTTGTGTCCTCAGGGTAGATTTCTTCTGTCTTACCCTGTGTAGAAAATAAGCCTCATGGCCTCTGATGAAGTGGGTTAGAGGCTTCTGTTTAATTTGAGCCATGTTAGCACTGCAAGTCTTTTAGAAATGGTTTTCTCATTGAATTCTAGCCCAAATTAAAAGACCAGTTATTTAGTGAACTTGTTGTATGTTTATATTATTTAGAGTATTAGCTGACGAGACTGGATGGCTTTGTATATTTTACTAAATGCATAAGTAGAAAAATAAGACATGAGTTGAAGATTATAAACCAAAAGGTAGATGAAACCTGGAATTGACAGCTGTTCCCATCCTTTCATTTCTGTTTTATTCTCTCTTTTCATTCCTGATCTTGCTCAAAGCACTGATCTTAAACATGCTTTGGGGTTGCTACCTTTTCCTAATCTCTTTTTAACCTTTATCTTATATTCTCCCATATCTCTCCTCACCTCCAATAAAACATAACAAATTCTTAGTCCTATACTACTTTTTTGATTAATAGGGGAATTGAGAATAGTGTGAAATTTTGACCTGCCTTAGTCTGTTTTGTATTGCTATAAAAGAATACCTAAGACTGGGTAATTTATAAAGATATGAGGTTTTATAGCTCACAGTTCTGCAGACTGAGAAGTTCAAGAGCATAGACCTGGCTTCTGGCAAGATCTTTCATACTTCACAACACGGTGGACAAGGTCAAAGGAGAAAAAGAAACATTCAAAGAGAGGAAAATCTGAGGAGTGCATAGTGGCCTTATAACAACCCACTCTTGTGGGAAGGAACTAAGCCATTCGCCAGAGAACTAATCCAGTCTCATGAGAGCCAGAACACACTAACTCCAGAATAGCACTGAGCCATTTATGAGGCATCTACCCGTAGAACCCAGACACCTCCCTCTAGGCCTCACCTTTCAATATTGCCACGCTGGGGTTCAAATTTCCACATTAGCTTTGGTGGTGATAAAGAAACCAAATCCAAATTATAGCATGACCAAAGTGAGGTCAGACTTTTTCAAGAATTAAGTTCTGATCTGTTGGCTTTTCACTTGCACATTTTCACTTTCTCCTTTGTTTCTTTTTTGTATTGTTTACAAAAATATCTAATACAGATAACCCAGACATGTCAGTCTTAAATGCACTCTTAATATGACCACTTGTATGGTTTGTTTATGTCTCAGTCAACTTACTTTATAATGAGTAAATACCAAAACTATTTTCCCTAAAAAGCTGGGTTTCAGCTAATATCCATTAGACTTTGGTGTTTTTTTAATTATGTCCAGCATGTTATACCAACACTGCTGCAATATCTGGTGAGCATCATGTTTTTAAAATTTTATGTTAAAACACATTTTATGTTTGTAACATGTTTAAAAGTTAAAATAGAATTTTAGCATCATAATTTACACTTAGAAATTTATATATTCAAATTGTAAAGTACAAGATTTGATTTAAATGTGCAAGAAAATTTTTAAAGTTACAAACATAATATACATTCAGTATAAAAGTGATTAAAAAATGAAAATTACCTATAACCTTTGCACCCAGAAATAATTCCAAGATGCTAATATGTGTAATATTAGTCTTTTTAAGCTATGTTTTTATACATTTAATGGCAGCATGAGATCATAGAGCTTTGTCATGTACTTTGAGAAGAAATAATCATAGATAACATGTTTTCATTATATTAAATACTTACAAAATAACAATATGTTTGTTTGCTTTATATTGCAAGAGTCTCTTCTCAACCATTAGGAATTATGCTCTTGAATAGTGTGATGATTGGTGTTGACAAAGAAAGATAAGATATAAAAAATTTTCTTACTTTGGTATATAAATGTTCTTGAAATGTCTTATTTCTTTAAAAACGACAAACATATGAATAAATTCATTCTTTGTTTTGTACATTCTATGGATTTTGATAAATATATAATGATCCATTATTACAGTATCATTCAGAATAATTTAATTGCCCTAAAAATCTCATGTTCCATACTTCTCTTTTCTTGACAACCACTGATCTTTTAGTGAAAAGATCACTAAAACATCTATTTCTGTAGTTTTGCCTATTCCAGAATATCATATAGTTGGAAACATACAGTAGGTAGTCTCTTCAGATTGGCTTCTTTCACTTAGCAGTATACATCTAAGTTTCCTTCATGTCTTTTCATGGCTTTATTTCTTTTACATGCTGAGTAAGATTCCATTGTATGGATGTACCACAGTTGGTTTATCCATTCACATATTGAAGGACACTCTTGCTTACTTCCAAGTTTTGGCAATTATAAATAAAACTGCTGTAAACAGGAAGGTACAGGTCTTTGTGTGGACCTGTCTTCAACTCATTTGGGTGTAACCAGGGTACATGATTGCTAGATTATGTAAAACAAATATGTTTAGTTTTATAAGAAGCTGCCAAACTGTTTTCCAAAGTGTCTGTGCCATTTTGCTTTTCCATGAGCCATGAATGAGAGTTCCCATTGCTCTACCTTCTCACTAGTATTTGGTATTGTCATTGTTTTGGATTTAGCCATTGTAATAGGTGTGCAATGGTATCTCATTGTTTGATTATGTAATTCCCTATTGACATATGATGTTGAGCATCTTTTCATATGCTTATTTGCCACCTCTGTATCTTATTTGGTGAGATGTTTATTTGGATGCCAATTTTAAACTGGGTTATTTCCTTGTTGAGTTCTTTGTATATTTTGTGTAACAAAATAAGTGTTTTTCACATATTTTATCCCCATGTGTATTTTGTGTTTTAATTTTCTTAGTAGTGCCATTTGGTAGAGCAGAAGTTTTTAATTTTAATGAAGTCTAAATCAATTTTTTATTTTCTTTCATGGATTGTACTTTCGGTGTTGTATCTAAAAACACATGGCCATAACCAAGGTCACCTAGATTTTCTTTTGTGTTACATTTTTGGAATTTTGTTTGTTTGTTTGTTTGTTTTTTGAGATGGAGTCTCACTCTGTCACCAGGCTTGAGTGCAGTGGCACAATCTTGGCTCACTACAACTTCCACCTCCCGGGTTCAAGTGGTTCTCCTGCCTCAGCCTCCCAAGTAGCTGGAACTACAGGCACACACCACCATGCCCAGCTAATTTTTGAATTTTTAGTAGAGACGGGGTTTCACCACATTGGCCAGGATGGTCTCGGATCTCTTGACCTCATGGTCCACCAGCCTCTGCCTCCCAAAGCACTGGGATTACAGGCGTAAGCCACCGCACCTGGCCTGTTTTTTGTTTTTTTTTTTTTTGAGATGGAGTCTTGCTCTGTCGCCCAGGCTGGAGTGCAATGGCGTGATCTCGGCTCACTGCAACCTCTGCCTCCTGGGTTCAAGCGATTCTCCTGCTTCAGCTTCCCGATGTGTCTGGAATTTATTCCTTCCATTGGGTTCTTCGTCTCGCTGACTTCAAGAATGAAGCCGCAGACCCTCGCAGTGAATGTTAAAGCTCTTAAAGATGGTGTGTCTGGAGTTTGTTTGTTCAGATGTTCAGATGTGTCCGGAGTTTCTTCCTTCCATTGGGTTCGTGGTCTCGCTAACTTCGGGAGTGAAGCAGCGGACCTTCGCAGTGAGTGTTACAGCTCTTAAAGGTGGCGCGTCTGGAGTTGTTTGTTCCTCCCAGTGGGTTTGTGTCTTGCTCACTTGAGGAATGAAGCCGCAGACCCTCCTGGTGAGTGTTACAGCTCATAAAGGCAGTGCGGACCCAAAGAGTGAGCAGCAGCAAGATCTATTGTGAAGAGCGAAAGAACAAAGCTTCCACAGCGTGGAAGGGGACCCCAGCAGGTTGCCACTGCTGACTCGGGTGGCCAGCTTTTATTCCCTTATTTGGCCCCACGCACATCCTGCTGATTGGTCCATGCCAACTTTTATTCCCTTATTTGGCCCCACACACATCCTGCTGATTGGTCCATTTTACAGAGCGCTGAGTGGTGCGTTTTTACACAGTGCTGATTGGTGCATTTACAATCCTTTAGCTAGACCAGAGTGCTGATTGGTGCATTTACAATACTTTAGACACAGAGTGCTGATTGGTGCGTTTTTATAGAGTGCTGATTGGTGCATTTACAATCCTTTAGCTAGACACAGAATGCTGAGTGGTGCATTTTTACAGAGTGCTGATTGGTGCATTTACAGTCCTTTAGACACAGAGCGCTGATTGGTGCGTTTTTATAGAGTGCTGATTGGTGCATTTACAATCCTTTAATCCACAGAGCGCTGAGTGGTGCGTTTTTTTATTGAGTGCTGATTGGTGCATTTACAGTCCTCTAGCTAGACAGAAAAGTTGTCCAAGTCCCCACTCGACCCAGGAAGTCCAGCTGGCTTCACCTGTCACCAAGTAGCTGGGATTACAGGAGCCTGCCACAATGCCCAGCTAATTTTTGTATTTTTAGTAGAGACAGGGTTTCACCATGTTGGTCGGGCTGGTTTCGAACTCCTGACCTCAGGTGATCCACCTGCCTTGGTGTCCCAGAGTGCTGGGATTAGAGGCGTGAGCCACTGTGCTCGGCCATTTTTGGAGTTTTATAGTTTTGCATTTTATATTTAGGTCTGTGATCCATTTTTAGATTTTTTGTGTGTGAAACTTGTAAGGTCTGTGTCAATTCATGTTTTGGCATGTGTATGTCTAGTTTTTCCATTACCATTTGTTGCAAAGATTGTTCTTTTCTCCATTGAATTGCCTTTGCTTATTCGTAAAAGACCAGCTGACTATGTTTATGTGGGCCTATTTCTGGGCTCTGTTTTGTTCCCTTGATTTGTCTGTTCTTTCACCATTATCACACTGTATTGATTAGTATAGTTTTATAATGTCTTGAAGTTGGGTAGGTTTTGTCCTCCAACTTTGTTCTCCTTCGGTATCGTGTTGGTTCTCCTGGGTCTTTCTGTGTATACTTTAAAATCAGTTTGTCATATCCACAAAATAACTATCCAGAATTTTGATTGGGATTGCATTGAATTTATAGATCAAGGTTGGAAGAACTGACATTTAACAATACGAATTTTTTTCTACTCTTGAATGATCTCATTTATTTAGACTTTCTTTGATTTCTTGAATCAGAGTTTTATAGTGATCCTCATAGAGATCTTGTACATATTTTGTTAGATTTATATCTACATTTTTGGTGAATGTTTTTTGTTGTTGTTGCTAATGTATATGGTATTATTTTAATTTCTAATTTCAGTTGTTCATTACTGATACATAGGAAGGAAGTTGACAATTTGTATATTAACCTTGTATCCTGCAACCTTTCTACAGTAGTTTATTAGTTCCAGTGATTTTGTTGTTATTTTGGGATTTTCTACGTGCATAATCATAGCATACTATTGGGACAAAGAATGATGAGAAAAGGTATATAAAGAATGATAAAAATATAATAAAACAGTGTATTTGAGCCTATTTCTTCATAGTTGATCATCAATTATTGTCCCATTGATAGCCTTTTAACTTTGGGGAGTAAAAGGGATTGCAGAAAAGGATGAAGGTAGGGTACCAAAGTTCTAAGCCATATAATGCTGTCTTTTTTAAGCCCCCAACCCCCTAATTTTTAGCTCTCCTTTTCCCACCCAAAAAGCACAACTGTCTAAAAATCCTATTTCATTGTAAATGTCAACTGACATTTCCATTTATCCTTGCAAGATTACCTAAGCATGCTGATGGGGGGATGGACAACATATTCATTAGCAAAACAGAATTGGAGAATATCGTTTCGTTGACTCTAGAATTTAGTCTCCTGTGCTTTTTGCATAAGCTGAAGGGTCTCATTAGAAACAATGTATTATTCCTAAAAGTTTTTAGGGAAAATTTTAAGATTTTTCTAGGATAATTTCTAGGGTAATTTCTAGCAATTCTTAAATAATTTATCTCTAAAGCAATGTTATTTTCAGTTTTTTTTCCTTCCAAAAATAGTTTAATATTTACTAATTAACTTACTGGAGTTGTAGCATATTGTAGGGGCCAAGAAAAAACTTCCCTTTCAGCCTCTGAAGGTTCTTTGAAAATCAGCTGAAAAAAGGCAGATTAATAGGAGAAAGGGCATATGATTTTATTTGATCTTGGTGTTACGTGACATGGGAGCCTTCAGAATAAAGACCTAAAGATATAGGAGAAAACTGCCCATTGGTATGCTTAGGTTCAGCAAAGTCTGGACAGCCATATACTGAGTGGGGAAACCCAGCAAGGCCTGCCTGTCTGTATAGATTCTTCTTGGCCTCTCTGTGCAGCATTCTTTCCTTCCGGGTATGGAACAGCACCCTTTCTGGAATGGGGATCCTATGACCTACAATCAAACAGAATAGGTCAGATATGTCTTTATAGTTAGTTTTTACACAGAAAGATGAGGGCAGGGAACATTAGAGTAATATATTTAGGTTCTGTGGCTGGCTTTGGGGAAAGGGAGTTCTGGTTTCTGTGGACTACCTTGGGGACGAGGGATGGTAGTTTCAGTGGCTAGCCTCAGGAGAATGAGAGGCCAGAGACAGGAAGTTAGGAGATGGTCAGAGAGAGCTGCTTTGGAGGACTTTATTTTGGAGTATCATTTCCTTAGCCCTAGCAGTATCATACTTACATTTAAGTAAACTCAAGTCTGTAAACGTGGCAAAGGAAAAATTTATTTGAATAGTGGACAGTATTCTATTCATTATTCTTCTCAAATGAACATATACCCTGAAGTAATTGATATTGCAAGAAAGTACAGTTCTGTAATTTATGTGTAGTTTGGGGCTTTTCAAGGAAAATTTGTCTACATGTGCCTTCTCACCCACCAATTTTAGTGCCCTAGTCTTAAATCTTGTGTCCCATATAATGCAACCATCCTTCACAAAAATGATATTTTTGTCAGGGGCAGTACCTCACACTTGTAATCCCAGCTATTTAGGAGGCTGAGTCAGGAGGATTGCTTGAGGCCAGGAGTTCATGACTTCAGTGAGCTATTATCGTGCCACTGCCCTAGTTGACAGAGGGAAGCCCCATCTCTTAAACCAAAAACAAAAAAAAGTTTTCGTTGATTCAAGTGTCTGTCGCCCTTATACTATTTATCCATCCAATTAAACACATTAGCTTGGATTCACAAGCTTAAATCCTGAAGGTAGCCTACTTCCATGTGCTCAGAGAACATAGACTACTGTTGATCACTATAATATTTAAGATGTAGTTATGTCAGTGCCAGTAAGATCATATAATGCATTTCCAAAGCTTCTAAAGGATTTCTAAATACGTTGCAAATTTGTGTTAGTTCTTTTGTTAGCCTATATAATTCAGAAGTAAATGCATTTTAAGACGTATACTTTAAAGAAGTCCTCCAACTAGTATTTCTTTTTTATTCATTCATCAACACTACTGCAGAATTGATACTTTGTATCATTTACAAGGTGTATTCCATGGTTAATAATCAAAACAACTGTAGTAATGTCTTTTTTTCATTTTGTGAGACGGAGTCTTGCTCTGTCTTGCCCTGGTTGGAGTGCAGTGGTGCAATCTCCGCTTACTGCAGCCTCCGCCTCCCCGGTTCAAGCGATTCTCCTGTCTCAGCTTCCCGAGTATCTGGGATTACAGGTACGCACCACGACACCTGGCTAATTTTGTATTTTTAGTAGAGACGGGGTTTCACCATGTTGTCTAGTCTGGTCTCAAACTCCTGAACTCAGGTGATCCACCCGCCTCAGCCTCCCAAAGTGCTGGGATTACAGGTGTGAGCCACCATGCCCGGCCAACTGTAGTAATTTCTAAATGTCTTTCTTTACTGAACATATCATAGTATTAACTCTCTGATTATCCTTCTGGGGGTTGTTTATTTCATAACTATTTACCTCCCATGTTCTTGAAAACAACTTTATTGGCTTATTCATGAATATCAAGGCTCTAATAGGTACTTTATAAAGTAAGTACACTTATTAAAAGATATATATGTATGGGGTGCAGTGGCTCACGCCTGTAATCCCAGCAGCACTTTGGGAGGCTGAGGTGGGCGGATCACCAGGTCAGGAGTTCGAGACCAGCCTGGCCAATATGGTGAAACCCCATCTCTACTAAAAATACAAAAATTAGCCGAGCGTGGTGGCGCATGCCTGTAATCCCAGCTACTCAGGAGGCTGAGGCAGGAGAATCGCTTGAACCCTGGAGGTGGAGGTTGCAGTGAGCTGAGATGGTGCCACTGCACTCCAGCCAGGCGACAGAGTGAAAGTCCAGCTCAAAAAAAAAAAAAAAAGATATATATGTATATACGTTTATATTCATATGTGTGTATATATATGTATGTGTGGTTGTGTGTGTCTGTGTATATATGATTCCAGACATACTGCCATGTACTAGTGAAGATTACTGAAATTCAGAGGTTAGAGAGAACATGGCTTTTCTGGAGAATTGCAAGCCTTTTCAATTATTTAATCAGTTTAAGTACCAAGACATTATAAAATATTTTTCTTCATTTTAATATCAATGAGAAAATATCATGGCATCATATTACTTAACTAAAGGTTATCAAACCTTGGAATCATTTAATCTGAATGTGTCCTTAAGTAAATTGTGTCCTTTTAATATTCACTGGCAACAAATGAGGAGGAAAAAAAGATTTTACAAAACTGTCAGTAATTACCATGGTTTATTCACCTGTGGTCCAAAAGTTGATTTGTGTGGAATTATTCTTCAGCTCTGGAGAACTCAAGGAAACATCTCACCAGAGGCTGTGCCCCAACTTGATATAGATAGCATTTTTGAGCTGATCTCTTTAGGAAGAACTAACAGAGTTTACTTATTTTCTAACTTGGAATATATATCAGTATTGGCCCTTATTTCTCCCCACACTCAACCATTCTTTTAACTCTATTTTAATCTTTACCTCTGTACAAACAATCCAACTGGGGGAGAAAAAAGAATGAAAACTAATTCTGATGGACTGAAAAACAGCTTAAATGTATTTTTCTTGCCTCAGTTTCATCTCAAAGGACAGTAACAAAACATGGAAACCACCTTCAAATTTCTCCTAAAATACCTTTCATTTTACGTTATTTGACTGTTTAGCTAGCAAATCAAGAACATTTTATCGAACTGAAGAGAGGCAAAGTTCTGAAATTTTGTCCATACTTACCTATCTTTGAGAAATGTCAGCCGTGTGAAGTTAGGTCCTAGGTAAACAGTAATAGAATTTGTATTTTAACTTTTTTCTAATAAAGGGAGTGGGGTAGTGGTATTGTTTTCGGTGTTTTCTTCTGCCACCATCTGGAAAGAAAGCAGTATTAAACATCTTTTTAATTTACTAAGAGTTCTTTTCACAAAGTAATGCCCCCATCTGCTGGAGCTGTAAGGTTTTGCCTCAAAGTAAGGGTATTAGAGAAAATAATACATGATCATTTGTGTATTTTTGAATTATATTTTCTAGTCTCATCCACTAATTTTACCAAGGTTTTTGTAGGAGTTGTTAGCCAATTTCATCTTCTCTTGATGTGTTAGTTCTTATTCCAAACTAAGAAAAACTTGATATAAATTAGTGTTCTTGGAAAGTGGTGCATGGTTTTTGTTTCTTGTTGTTGTTGTTCCTATTGTTGTTGTTTTTGAGATGAGTCTCGCCCTATTGCCCTGGTGGGAGTGCAGTGTTGGCGATCTTGGCTCACTGCAACCTCCGCCTCCTGGGTTCAAGCAGTTCTCCTGCCTCAAGTCTCCTGAGTAGCTGGGATTACAGGCACGTGCCACCACACCTGGCTAATTTTTGTATTTTTAGTAGAGATGGAGTTTCACCATGTTGGCCAGGCTCGTCTCAAACTCCTGACCTCAAGTGATCTGCCCACCTCAGTCTCCCAAAGTGCTGGTATAACAGGTGTGAGCCACTGCGCCCAGCCGAAAAGTGGTATGTTTTTATATTTTTAACAAATGGGTATGAGAAAACAAAAAATGCTCAGAACAGTCTGAGCTCTGAGGTATGCAGGCCCAGAGAGATGTGAGTAGTATGGGACTTCAGTTATGCCCCCATACTCCACCCCAACTCCCTACCCCCTGCCACTCTGTAGCCAATGGATAGTTTGTTATTTTAATGTAGATTCTTGGTGAACAACTCAGAGCGTGCCTTTTTATTTTTCTTTTTCTCTTTAAAAATCTACTTGTTACTGCTGCTAATGAGCATATTCAGGGCAACTTGAATTTATGCTCCTTGGTTGCAACCCTCAAGCTTGGCTCAAATGAACTCTCTATGTATGTTATTAATTTTGCCTCAACTTCTTTCCTTTTAGGTCAACACATATAAAACTTACATTATTTACAGAAATATTTGTGAATAGAATAAAAAGTTATGTTTATAAATGTTTTAAGTGTATAGATATGAGAATTTTTATAGGTAACACCTAATTTTTGGCTATAAAATCAGTGTTGGAAACATTTTCAAAATGCCCTATAACACAAATTTCTTCTAAAAAGCAGTTTCTTTCCTACTTTTATTTTAAAATTCCAGATGAAGTAAATCTTTTTTTTTTTTTTGCTTTTTGTTTTTTATTTACTAAGCAGCATGCTGTTGACAGGCAGCCATTTTTCATTCCAGGAAAAAGCTGCAGTTGGAACAGCTGAGATTATTTCACTTACATTTTAAAAATAATAACATCTTTAAATTCAGCAAGTGAGGCTGGGCGTGGTGATTCAGGCCTGTAATCCCAACTGAGGCCAAGGTGGGTGGATCACTTGAGGTCAGGAGTTCGAGACCAGCCTGGCCAACATGGTGAAACCCCCATCTCTACTAAAAATGCAAAAATTAGCCAGGCATGGTGGCACATGCCTGTAATCCCAGCTCCTATCTCCTGAGGCAGGAGAATAGCTTGAACCCAGGAGGCGGAGGTTGCAGTGAGCCAAGATTGCAACCTTGCACTCCCACCAGGGCGACAGAGCGAGATTCTGTCTCAAAAAAAAAAAAAAATTCAGTAAGTCAGCTGGATTCAGTAATGTCTCCAAACTGGATTCATATACCTACATTGTGTATTAATGAGCTGACAGTAAATGAATATGTGATGGTGCCACTCGGAACCCCTTCTTGTTATTGATCTTGAACTCTTCCCTTTCCTTAGGGCGTCTGGGTTGAGTAACATGACTTGACCTGCTGATACAGAGACCAAGTAAAATTTGTCAATGTATATATTAAATATTAGTTAAGTTTAATTTAGCTCTTATTTTTTGGATAGATATTTATAGGTAAACATATTACAATACTTTCTTTTTTTTTTTTTTTTGAGACAGAGTCTCGCTCTGTTGCCCAGGCTGGAGTGCAGTGGCTCTATCTTGGCTCACTGCAAGCTCCGCCTCCCGGGTTCACACCATTCTCCTGCCTAAGCCTCCCAAGTAGCTGGGACTATAGGCGCCGGCCACCACACCTGGCTAATTTTTTGTATTTTTAGTAGAGATGGGGTTTCATCATGTTAGCCAGGATGGTCTCGATCTCCTCACCTCATGATCTGCCCGCCTCGGCCTCCCAAAGTGCTGGGATTACAGGTGGGAGCCACTGTGCCCAGCCTACAATACTTTCTTATTCCAGAGGGTTATTTTGCACCAGCCACCTTACTGACCATTTATATGAAAGATAGGAAAAATTGTTTGTTGTTACCTCTTTGACCTGTGCTTGGACAACTTTGAAACTAAATAAATCGGACATGTTCACACCTGTTTTCTCCTTAAATGCTTTTTTTTGGGTACACAGTGTTACAGCTCCTGGCGTCGTAATTACTAGTAAGATGCTCATAATACTAGAGTACTTTTGATTATCCAGCTGAGGTACATGGTTCTTTTTCTTAAACAATTTGATCCACTAATTCTTATTTTTGTTTTTTACCTTATGGTAGCTGTAGAAAAAATAATTTAAAATATGTTACTTTTTGTGTGTGTGTGTGTGTGTGTATATATATACACACACACACACACATATATATATCTATATATGGAAAGTTCTTGTTCTTTTAAATGACAAATATTATGAAATAGAGCCCATTTTGGTTGAAAAAGTATGTGTGTGTGTAGGCAGGCCACATTTTTAACCTAATAAAAATTATAGGAATTGCTGGACTTTAGATATTTATTAAACCCAAGAGATTTTTTTTTTTTTAAAGATCTCAATCTTAGGTTAAAAAAAGTTTCAAGCTGCTCAAGGTGTTGACCCAGCTACTTAGGAGGCTGAGACGGAAGGATCTCTTGAGCCCAGGAATTCAAATCCAGCTTGTGCAATACAGTGAGACCCTGGGTCTAAAAAAAAAATAGTTTTAAGTTCCTTTTTTACACTTCATGTTTTAAGTTTAGACATTTTCTTTCTACTCTGAAGAATGAAATTAGCAACCGTATGCATTCATGCCACTTTTTTTTCATTTTTTTGTTGAATGATTATTTTCACTGTGTAACGACTTATGTTTCCACCTGCTACTATAATTATTTACCTTTTTTTGGTTTTAGTTTTTTATTTTAGTGGATTCAAAGGTCACTAGTGTGTGTGTGTGTGTGTGTGTGTATGTGTGTGTGTGTCTGTATAAAATTGTGTTTTTAATTATGCTTTAGTTGGCTGGATTTTGTCATTGAGTTCCCCATATCCTCCTGCAACACACACACTCCACACAAGGCTTTATTGGCTCTGTGTACTAAATAAGTTCATTCTTATTTGATAAGGCTATACCTGTTACCTTTATATGTGAGTGACATCTTTGCTAGGTATGAGTCTTGGTCTCTCTCTCAGAACTTTGTAGATATTATGACACCATATTTTAGCATTTTTTTCTCCCTTGTAGGTGTTTTTCAGGCTGAGTCCCAGTGAATTCTTTTTTTTAGGCTTGAAATTTAATAATTGAATTACAGTTTTTATCAGTTTTCTTCTTTTCATATTTGATACATTGATGAGAGTTTAGGAGATTTTATTGATGCAAGTATAGCTTTTAAGAGTGAGGTTAAAGTTAGGAACTATGGAGAACTCCTGTAGAATTTTCTAGGCTTGTTTATTATTAACTTGTCTCTTTGTTTAGTTACTGCTAAAGTATTTCTGTTTAACAGTTTTTTGTTTTGTTTTATTAGAGGAGAAAGATTCTCTGATTCCATTTTTTACCATTTTATCTGCACAATTCCTAATTAAAATTCCAGAGTTTCTGTACGAAACATGTATTCCTTTTTAGCGATGGGAAGAAAGTTTATGATCTTAAAAATAAAGATGTGTACAGAAAAAAATACAAATTGTACACATAGACATTCAAAGAGAAGTGAATTGTTGGTATTGAACATCTGTTATAATAACCGTGTTCTTTCAGAATGTATTCCTCTGCTATGTTTTGTCTCCTAAAGAAAAGCCCAGTGATGATTTTGATGAACTTTCTGATGTTTGCAGGGTTTTTTTTCATGCCAGTTGAGACTAACCAACCTCTGATTGGGAGTCAATAGACCTAACAGCTACTGCTGCTGTTAAGTAAGCTATGTCATCTTGGGCAGGTCATTGTATACCATTGCTAGTCAGCAAGCAGAGAGGTATTTGGTAAATTGACCAAACTTCAAATTTGACATGAAGGACTGTCACCAGGAGTTCATCCAGGTTGCTTCTCCCACAAAGTTTAGGATTATGTTAGTCTAAAAAACAGTGATTAGAACTAACCTAAGATGAGGAGCTTAAGTTAGTTGTGCAAACTAAATGGAGGGCTTTTATGTTCTATTTCTAAGGTAGGAAAACATTTGACATCTGAATGGCTATTGAGCTATATGTAGGAATAAGTTGTTAGTGTCAGCTATTTTCTAATTCTGTCTTTAGATGTTAAGAGAGTTTACTAAGGCTGGGCACGGTGGCTCACGCCTGTAATCCCAGCACCTTGGGAGGCCGAGGCAGGCGGATCACGAGGTCAGGAAATCGAGACTATCCTGGCTAACATGGTGAAACCCCGTCTCTACTAAAAATACAAAAAATTAGCCGGGCATGGTGGCAGGCGCCTGTAGTCCCAGCTACTCAGGAGGCTGAGGGAGGAGAATGGT
Organism: Homo sapiens; assembly: GCF_000001405.40. NCBI lineage: Eukaryota > Metazoa > Chordata > Mammalia > Primates > Hominidae > Homo > Homo sapiens. The sequence goes on along the minus strand of NC_000002.12, from coordinate 147,985,297 downwards.
GTGAACCCGGGAGGTGGAGCTTGCAGTGAGCCGAGATAGCGCCACTGCACTCCAGCCTGGGCAACAGAGCGAGACTCTGTCTCAAAAAAACAAAAAAACAAAAAAAACAGAGAGTTTACTGAATAGTTATCATTATTGTTGGCCAAACAGAGTTAGTCTAAAATACATTATGCAGAATCAGTGTGGTAGACAAAGAGGCTCTGAGTGAGGGTTTGGATCTGAGGAAGGCATCATGAGAAAGAAGAGTTATAAGTACTCATGAAACCTCAAGAGCAGTAAAGGATGTACTTCATAATTTTTAGAATTTATCAACAAGCAACCCTTGGAAAGCATAGGAATGGAGAATTACAATAAATAAGCCACCTCAGTTGAAAAATGGGAGTATGAATATACATGTGATTGAGTCTTGAGATTATTTAGTCATCCTGCTTTAGTTAGCATGTAACTATAAAATTTCAAATACAGATACAGTAAGTAGTGGTCAGTGAATATATTTCAGAATTCATCCCTTCCTTTGTAAAGGTATAGATTGTAGGGGACTTACTGTCATGGGGAAATGCACATAGGCAATTTAGAGAGCAGACAGCTTTAGATGACACATTTTTACAATTCCTATAATTTTTGTCCTTTGTCAATACAGAAGTAAATTTAAAATGGTCAGTAGCTCTCTGATGTATAGTAGTGCTCTGGAACTGCAGTAATGAGAATTTCCTCCATACGCAGTTGACTCTTGAACAATGTAAGGGTTAGGGGTCGAAACACCCCCTCCCTACCAAAAGCAGTTGAAAATCTGCATATAACTTTTGCCTCCCCAAAAACTTAACTGTTAATAGCCTACTTGACTGGAAGCCTTGCTGGTAACATAGTCAATTAATATATATTTTATGTATGTATTATATATTGTATTATTATAATAAAGTAAGGTAAAGAAAAGATATTTAGAAAATATATCTACTATATATAGAAAATATATTTACTATTCATTAAGTTGAAGTGGCTCATTGTAAAGGTCTGCATCCTACTTGTCTTCCTGTTGAGTAGGCTGAGGAGGAAGAGGAGGGGTTGATCTTGTTGCCTAGGGGTAGAAGAGGTGGAGGAGGTAGAAGGGGAGACAAGACAGGTTAGGCACACTGGGTGTAACTAAACAGGTAATTTCTGTCTATCTCTTTTGGTTTCTAATTTCTTTTAAAATGTTTCTATACAGTATCAACCCTTCCTCAACCATTTGCTTTGATTCCAGTACCTGTATCATAGAAGGGTCCATGTCGTAAAAGAAGTCAAGAGTAGTCTTGTATATTCAGAACCGTTCTGCCAGATTGTCTAATGTCAGTTTGTTTTCTGGCACTGTTCTGCATCTTTCTCACTGTCTGGCAGTGGTTCAGAAGCATCTATCTCCACCTTGTCTTCTGTTAATTCCTCTGGTGTGGTATCTGTTAGCTCTTGAATTTCTCTAAGACCCATATGTTGAAACACATCACTCCCCACCCTTTTTGCCGTGTCTACAATCTCTTTCATGATTTTCTTGATTGGCTTTGTAGTAAATCCTGTGAAGTCATGCACAACATCTGGACATAGATTTCTTCAGCAGAAATTTGTTTCAGTCTTGTTGGCTTTCATGGCTTTTTCTATGACAACAGGGCATCTTCAATGGGATAATCCTCCCAGACTTTCATCATGTTCTGTCTGTGGAGGTTTTTCCATAGTGTTGACATTCGTTTCCATAGAGTTCTGTGTGTAATGAACCTTAAAGGTCCCTATGACCCCCTGATCTACAGGCTGAATTAGAGAGTTTGTGTTTGGGGACCAGTGGACCACTTGGACAAAAGCCTTCGGTGTTGAACTCATGGGATTCTGGGTAGCCAGGGGCATTGTCCAATATCAGAAGAACTTCAAAAGGCAGTCCCTTACTGTCTGGGTACTTCCTGACTTCAGTGACAAAGCATCAGTGGAACTAATTCATTAACCCCATTGGCTCATTGAGTGAATCGGTTCCAGTGTTTTGACTATTACGAATAAATTTATCATGAACATACGTGTTACAGGTTTTTGTGTGAACATAAGTTTTTCTGTCAGGTAAGTACCCAAGAGTGCAATTGCTATGTGGCTTGGTAAGAGTATTTGTAGTTTTCTAAGAAACTGCTGTCAAGAAACTTTTCAGAGTAGCCATGCCATTATACATTCCCACCAGTGGTTAAATGAAAGATTCATTTTCTTTACATCCTCACCATCTTTGTGTTATTTTAGCTGCCTTAATCAGTGTGTGGTGGTATCTTACTATGGTTTTACTTTGCATTTTCCTAGCGGATAATGATATTAAACATCTTTGCATATGCTTATTTGCCACCTGCATATCTTTGGTGAAATGTCTACTTATGTATTTTGCCTATTTTCTAATGGGATTCCTTTTTTATTATTGAGTGTTGAGGGTTCTTTAGATACAGATCTTTTGTCAGATATGTGGTTTGCAGGTATTTTCTCCCAGTCTGAAGCTTGTCTCATCTGTACTATTAGAATTGTCTTTGAAATATTCTTTATTATATAGTAGATATTTGACCATTACATGAAGGGGGAAGATGTCAAAATAACCTTTGGACTAAAACTTTATTTACAGTCAAAATTTATGTAGGTTATAAGGTAGATACCATAGTGGCATGTTTGTTGTTTCTTTTATGAATGCTGGCCCCACATGAAGAAAAAATGAATTATCTTAATAGCTTACCTGATTTATATATGATGCAAAGGGGCAGATTAGATACCTGCCTTGGAACTGTGGACATTTATTTAGCTTTTTTGAGTAATTCTTTCTTAATTCATGAAGTGGGTAAAAAATATCTTTTAATTCTAACAATACTGTAAGATAGCTAATGTAGTTCTACAAAATAAAACATACTGCAAAAGCCCTTTCTCCTTTTTACATTTTAATTAGTCTTATAATCTAGGAGACAATTATTACATAGTTCTTTGTGATTTTAGATTTTGGCTGATAGTCAAGAGCATCATAAACCAGAGTTGAGGATATTTTATTAGCTAAAAAGGTTTTTCCCTCTCATAACACTGATTAGGAAAAATAAAAAATAGAATAAGATAAAACTTTAGATATAAAAGACTGCTAGAAGGTATCCTAAGACAGCTGAGAAGACCACTTTTCTTCTAAGAAAGAAGATGCTTAAGGGTCAAGACAATAATTGAGTACTCTGTTATTTAATTTTCAATTAGGAAGCCTGGAGCCAGAGGACTTTTGGTGGCTGAGGCCTTAGCTACCTGGCTTACACATTAAGGAGGACACAGATTTGCTTGCTGTCTGTCTGTCAAGGCCTGGCTCAGCTAAGGACCTGTTAACATTTCTAGAGAAGAAAACAGCATTACCATGGTTTGCTTTCTAATTGTCACTATATGAAATTAATAAATGTGAATGTAAAATATATTGGCTGATCTTCCTTCAGGTTATTGAAATGTGTTTGTACTTCTTTTTTCAAAAAAGTTTGCTAAATACGTAACAATTTCATAAGAGTACAACTTATTTGGGTTCAAATCATTCAAATCCTGGCTCTGCACTTACTTGCTTTTTGATGTATATTTTATATGTTTTTTTTCTAATTGATGAATAAAAATCTTATCCATTTATGGTATACAGCATAATGTTTTAATATAGGTATACATTGTGGAATGACAAAATTAAGCCTATTAATATATCTGTTACCTCACATACCATTTTTTTGTAGTAAGAAAATTTAAAATCTGCTTTCATTCTATGAGTTCCCCTGTTAGAGGTTCCACCTATTGTAGTCCCTCCCTTATCCTCAGTTTCACTTTCCATTGTTTCAGTTACTTTTGGTCAGCTGAAGTTCCAAAATATTAAATGGAAAACTCCAGAAATAAATAATTCATGAGTTTTAAATTGCATGCCACTCTGAGTAATGTGATGAAATCTTGCAGTGTCCTGCTCTGTCTTGCCTGGGACATACATAATTTCTTCGTCCAGCGTATCCATGCTGTGTATTGCATGTGTCCCATAATCACTCAGTAGCCATCTAGGTTATCAGATTAAAAGAACATAGTATATAGAGAGAGTTGGGTACTATCCATGATTTCAGACATGCGAGGGGCGCCTTGGAATTCATCTCCCATGGATAAGGAGAGACTACTGTATAAATTAGATTATGTGGTGTTTGTCTTTCTGTGCCTGGCTTATTTCAGCTAACAGAATATCTCCCAAATGCATCTATGTTGCTGCAAATGACAGGATTTCTTTTTTGTTTAAGGCTGAGTTAGTGTTCTATTGTGTATATATACCACATCTTCTTTATCTTTTCATCCATTGATGGACACTTAGGTTGATTCCGTATTTTGGCTGTGAATAATGCTGGAGTGTATATGGGAGTGAGGATATATCTTTGACATATTGATTTCATTTCCTTTGTATATATTGATGGATATTCAGGAGTGGGATTACCGGTCATGTAATTTGACTTCTAATTTTTTCAAGAACCTCCATACTGTTTTCCATAATGATTATACTAATTTACATTTTTACCAACAGTGTACAAGAGTTTCCTTTCTTCATAATCCTCAACAACACTCATCATCTTTTGCCTTTTTTTGACAATAGCCTTCCTAGCAGGTGTGAAATGTTATCTCATTGTGGTTTTGTTTGTACTTCCCTGAAAATCCCTGACAATTAGTAACACTGAGAATTTTCTCAAATACCTATTTGACATTTTTATGTCCTGTGAGAAATCTTTTTGACCATTTTTTAAATTGGGTTGTTTCCTTGCTATTAAGTTTTTTTTGTTGTTGTTTTTGTTTTTGTTTTTTTTAGTTCCTTATACAGTCATCCCTCTGTATCCACGGGAAACTGGTTCCAGGACTCCCCTGAGATACCAAAATCTGTAGATGCTCAAGTCCTTTCTATAAATTGGCATGGTATTAGCGTATAACCTACACATATCCCATATTCTTTAAATCATCACTAGATTACTTATAATTTCTAATACAATGTAAGTGCTTTGTAAATAGCTATTATAATGTATTGTTTTTAAAATTTATATTAATTTTTATTGTTGCATTTTTTTTCCCCTCTAAATTTTCTCTCTCTTAAGTTGGTTGAATCTGCTGATGAGGAGCGACTACATATTTTGGATTTTAACCTGTTAGCAGATGTAAGATTTGCAAATAGTTTCACTTATTCTGAAGGTTGTCTCTTCACTCTGTTGATTGAAGCTTTTTAGTTTTATGTCTGTTTTCATTATTCTTGCTTCTGCTTTTGGAGTCATATCCCAAAAAAATCTTTGCCGAGTCCAGTGTCAAAAAGCTTTCCCCCTGTGTTTTCTTCCCCTATGTTTCAGGTCTTATGTTTGTCTTTAATCCATTTTTAGTTGATCTTTGTATATGGTGTGCAATAAGGGTTCAATTTCATTCTTCTGCCTGTGGATATCCAGTTTTCCTAACACCATTTCTTGAAGAGACTGTCCTTACTCCGTTGTGTGTTCTTGGCACTTTTGTTGAACATAAGTCAACTGTAAAAGTATGGATTTATTTCTCGACTCTGTATTCTGGGGTCTGTATGTTTGTTTTTATGCCAGAACCATGTTGTTTTGAATTATCTTAGTTTTGCACTAGGTATTGAAATCAGGTAGTCTGATACCTCCAGCATTGTTCTTTAGCTCATGATTGTCTTAGCTATTAAATGTCTCTGTGGGTCCATATGAATTTTAGGATTTTTTTCTATTTCTATGAAAAATGTCATTAGAATTTTGATATGGATTACTTTGAACCTTCACTTCCAGTAGTAGGGACATTTTAATAACATTGATTCTTTCAGTCCATGAACATGGAGTATATTTCCATTTATTTGTGTCTTCACTTTCTTTCATCAATATTGTATAGTTTTCAGTGACAGACCTTTCACCTCTTTTGTTACATTTCTTTCTAATTTGTTTTTGATGCTATTGTAATTAGGACTGGTTTTTAATTTTATCAAATAGTTATTAGTGTGGAGAAATCTTATTGATTTTTTTATGTTGATTTTGTATCCTGCCACTTTACTGTATGTATTAGTACTAACAGTTTTTTGGTAGAGTCTTAAGGATTTTCTCTATATAAAATTATGTTATCTGCAAACAGACCATTTAACTTTCTCTTTTTTGATTTGGATGCCTTTTATTTATTTTTTCTTACCTAATTCCTCTGGCTAGGACTTGCAGTACTATATTGAATATAAATGGCCAAAGTGGGCATTCTTGTCATGTTCTTGATCTTAGAGGGAAAGCTTCCAACTTTTTACCTTTGGGGTGTGATGTTAGCTGTGAGTTTGTTATATATGGCCTTTATTGTGTTGAAGTATATTCCTTTTATACCTAATATATTGACAGTTTTTAAACCTGAAGGAATATTGAATTCTGTTAGAAGCTTTTTCTGTATCTGTTGAGTCAGTCATGTGATTTTTGTCCTTCATTCTGTTAATGCATTATATCACATTTATAGATTTACATATGTTGAACCGTCTTTGCATTCCAAAGATAAATCCCACTTGATCATGGTAATTGATCTAATGTACTGTTGAATTAGATTTGCCAGTATTTGTTGAGGATTTTTGCACCTATATTCATCAAGGATATTGGCCTGCTACCGAAACTGTTCACCAAGAGGCCTGGGAAAATTCATGCACACTGGTACCTCAGAAAATAAGTCCACTGTCCTCAGTCCCAACTGCGGACCCTGATAAGACACTTTAACTTGGCTATGGTCTGAGATCAGTTCAAGGACCCACAAGAAGACAAAACTGTCTGAATCCCTGGGTCAAGCTTTCTGAACTTGGTCCTGCATTAAATACTGAAACAGCCCTGAAGCTCAGCTCCTGCCACTGTTGGTTGCAGCCTGAGAGCAACCCTGCCTGCACAAGGAACTGCTAGGAGACTCACCTGTCTGTGCCATCAGTACAGACTTGCCAATCTCTGTCCCATAGCATATGCTGAAAAAGCTCTGAATCGGGGATTCAGCTCCACTCAGCCACAGTCTTACAGAAATCCTGCACAGAAATCCTCCTGTAGTCAGGAGATACATCCTTCTGTGTCCTCAGGACAGGCAGGCAGATTTCAGTCCCACAGCAGGTCCTGAAACAACCCTGAATCTTGGCATAAGCCCCTCTCAGCTGTGGTCAGAGAGCAGTTCTGCCTACCCAGCATCCTGGAGGGAGATGGGGCTGTCCATAGCCCTGCAAACAGGCCACCTGACCTAGGTCCCTCATCAGTCCCTGAAACACCCCTGAAAAGTGGCTCCAGCCCCTCTCAATACAGCAGGCCCGCTAACTTAAGGACCTGAAGGGAGACATGCAGGTTTGTGACACCTTAGGCCTGAAGACCTAAGTCTTGACTGTAGGCCCTGAAGCAACCCTGTAGCTTAGTTCCAGCCCCACTCAGCTGTGGACTAGGGCAGTACTGCCTGTTAAGGAATCTACTCAGTGATCCAGTAGGAGCCCTCCCAGGTTCCCAGAGAAAGCCAAACCATCCACACACCTGGTAACAGGTCTTTTCTCTGCATATCTTCATCCACTGTACAGACCGAGGTCCTAGAAAAAGTCCAGTCCGCCAAGGGACCAGATAGGGTTCATATCCTGCTACAGCCCCTGGTAACAAGGTCCTATCGGGAGGACAGGGCCCTTTCCAAGTCTGAAGCCTGGACCACAGTTGGGGAATCTGTCACGTGAATGAAGATCTGCCCTCCAATTGACTTTTCCAGGTCTTGGGCCCCACTGGGGTTTCACAGACGCCTGCCTGAATCTCAACGCTAACACAAAGACCATTTTGTCCGTGGGTGGCTGTGAAATTATTGTTGCTATTTGGGGACACAAGCTGAAGGGCCTCCTATTTCATCTTGCTGCTGTCATTCTCGCATTATTATAATGTTAATCATTGGTGATTTGATGATAAGTCAGCTTTTTTTGAGTTTTATGAGTTCTGGCAGTAAAAAAGTTCCAAAATGTCTTTCACTGAGCTAAATTCAGGGTGTTAGCAAAGCTGTGTTCCTTCTGGAGATTAGATGAGACCAGAATACACTTTTTTAAAAAAGTGGTTAACTTGGTTGGATCCAAATCCTGGCTCTTCCATTTATATACTGTTTGATTTTGGTCAACATACCTAGCCTATCTGTGTCTTCTAACCTTAAAAGAGGATTATAATAGTAGTTATTCCACATGATAGTTTTGAGGATTAAATGAGTTGATAAATGCAAAGCATTTGTAACAATTCCTGATACCTAAACACTGCTTAAGCTGTTACTGTCTATCTGTTAAAATTTATTCCTATAGGAAATCAGTGCTAAGAAAATTAGGTCTTTTAGTCAAAGGTCTTTTAGTCATTTGTCTATGAGTATGGTACACTTGAGGAGAATTTTACAAAAAATATAATTTTTTCATTAATTTTTTTTTCATTCCAGTTATTCATTGCCAACTTTGTTTTGGGCATTATGCTACAATGCTTAGAATATAAAAAATCTCAATTTGGAAACAGTAGCAATTAAACAGACAATTTTGTTTAAAATAATTCAATAATAAAGCAAAATACAGGCACTTATGAGTGTTTAAGGAAGAGGCATTTAACCTAGTCTGTAATGATTATTTGTGTATTGTTGGTGAGTGGAGCAAGAAAGGGAAGGTTTTCTATAAGGGATGATCCTGTGGGATGGATGGGTGGGAGAATCATAAAGGAAGCATGTAAGTTAAAAAAAGAAAAAGGAAGAAAGGGAAGGTGAATAGAAGATTTAATCGAAAGGGAGGAGTAGCTGTAAGAACCACATACAGGCCTGGAGGTATTGTAGGTTCAGTTCCAGACCATTGCAGTGAAGCAAATATCACAATAAAGTGAATCACCCAAAACTTTTCTCAGTGCATATAAAATTTATATTTACAGTATACTAGTCTACTAAGTGTGCAGTAGTAGCATGTCTAAAAAATGTACATACCTTAATTTGAAAATACCTTATTGCTAAAAAATGCTGACAGACACAAAATGGGGACATGGTGTTTGAAAAATGGTGCCTATCGACTTGTTGGACACAGAGTTGCTACAAACCTTCAGTTTACTTTAAAAAAAAAATGCACCATCTGCAAAGCACAGTAAAACAAAGTGTGCCTAAAGTGTGGTATGAGAGTGTTGAATCAGCCTGTACTTAGACAAAATGAAGCCATCGAAGATTTTGAAGGTCTTAGGGTTTGAGCATTTTTTACTTTTAAAAACTTGTATTTATTTTAATTCTAGAACAGTAAATTCTTAAGTAATCTCTTTAAGTCACTACGTTTATAATATTTATGCCAATTTTTTTAAAGGATTTGAATTTGTTGAAATGAGCAGTCGTAAATCAAAGAGTAACAGCTTAATTCACACAGAGTGCCTTTCACAGGTTAGTATGTATTTTCATTAATCTCAAGATATTTTACCCTGTAAAGCTGTTCAGAGAAATAGTTATCTTCTTAACCTGAATTTTCCCTTTAGCATTTAGGAAGAATCACTCTTTCTAACCTTAGGGAGATATCAGTACGAGACCTTAACGAGATGCCAGCACAAGGTCGTAAGAACAATCATCTGGAAGCAAAATTTTCCAAACTCTGTCAAAATTAAATGTGGACCAACAGATTTTGTTGTTATGATTGTTCTCTGCCCTTTTTGTCAGTTCATATATTTTTTTTAATATTAGTGTTTTATACTGTAATTTAATTTTATCCTTATTAAGTCTGGGTAGTCAGAATTCTAGCTTTTACTTTTTTCTTTCCAATCTAGATGCCTTTTTTTTTTTTTCCCTTTTCTTGCCTAATTGCCCTGGCTTGAACTTTCTTTAAAATGTTGAATAGGATTGGGAAGAATGGACATTCTTGTCTATGTTTTCATCTTAGAGAAACAGCAGCATTCAGTCTGTCACTGTTATATATGATGTTAACTGTAGGATTTTTTTGTAGATGCCCTTTATTAAGTTGAGGAAGTTCCGTTACGTTTCCTCATCTGTTGAGTGTTTTTATAATGAATGTTATAAGAAGTGTATATTGTATTCCAAGTGCTGAGCATCTATCTGTATGTCTCTTCCTTAAGAAGCTTATAGATTAGTAGGGAAATGAGCATGGTATTTCTACCCTGGCATTTGTATTTATCTAGCTTGACCTGAACTCCATGTAGTTTTTAAATAAAAATTAAGTGTTACTGGTATTCTTTTATACGACTTGGCTTTCTTTTTGAAGGAAGTAGTTTAACTCTCTTTCTAAAAAAATTTTTAACTGAAATATGCTTTACATACCTTTGTATGTAAAGTGCACGAATCCTCCATGTACAGCTGACTTAATATCAATACATGTGTATACCTATTTAACTTCTATGCCAGATCACTTTGAGATTTGTGAACCTTCTGACTAGTCACTGTAGCTTTATCTAGCTTATATTTTATACCCCGTTACTGCCTCTAAGATATTTTAATGAGGTTTTCTGGGTTTTTTTTTTTTTTTTTTTAAGGAAAAGATTGAGTTTTTTCTTTTGATCTCATCTAGGTAGAGGAATACACATTATGATTAGTTGAGGCATATATATGTTCTTTTATGTATTTTTACAGATATTAGCTATTACCTGTACAAAGCCTATTTGTGTTACAAATAATTGCCTTTTTTAAACCTTTTTTTTTTTTTGAGACCAAGTCTTGCTCTGTTGCCCCAGCTGGAGTGCAGTGGTGCAGTCTTGGCTCACTGCAACCTCTGCCTCCTGGGTTCAAGCAATTCTCCTGCCTCAGCCTCCCAAGTAGCTGGTATTACAGGCATCCACCACCACGTCTGGCTAATTTTTGAATTTTTATTAGAGAAGGGATTTCAACCATGTTGGCCAGGCTGGTCTTGAACTCCTAACCTCAAGCGATCTGCCCATCTCGACCTCCCAAAGTGTTGGGATTACAGACGTGAGCCACAGCGGCCAGCCCCCTTTTTTAATCTTTCAAACAGGCCTGCCATAAGATGTTATTGTCCCTATTTTATAGATACAGAAATTAAAATTTAGAACAGACTTAACCTTTTAAAATTCATATAATAGACTCTTCTGGAGCCAATGTCCTTACTCTTTAACTTCCTCGATAATGAACAAGTATGTATTGTTTTGTCCCTAATGAATCATTTTCTTTGCTTTGCCTCTGTACATGGAACAAGAACTCAGATTTACTTCTTTGGTACATGAAGGATTAGTTCCATGCTGTCAGTCTAGGAGAAGCAAATATTCTTGGAGCCTTTTTATTCCAGTTCATGGGGCCAAATCTGAGATAGCACCCTCAGGTTGTTGTCCTTGAAAGACCTCTGTATTAGCTGCAGATCCAAAAAAGGAACGACTTTAATGGTCCATCTTTTTAAAGAGTATGGTAGATTATCTGACATAATTTTTCATGACTAAGTCTAAGGCCTTAGTTCTAAGATGACCTCAAAATATAGCTGCTTACAAGAATTCTTTTCTTAACTCGTTCACATGCATTACAATGGCCCTTAAGTTGCTAATATAGCTAAAGTCAGTGATTCTCCCTCTTGTTGAAACCTTCACAACTAAATTCTCATTCTTCCTATGGGACTTGAGATAGGTAAGAAATCCATTAATTTTTTAACATATGAAAATGGTGCCAGAACTCTAGAGGATAAGAATTTAGGGAGGGTTGAATTGATTCATTAATACCTAATTCTGACTATTGTAAATGTGCTTTCTTATTTATTTTTTATATCATGTGTAATATTTTTATTTATATTTATTCACTTTATTTTCATCAGGTACAAAGAATTTTACGTGAAAGATTTTGTCGTCAGAGTCCACATAGTAACCTATTTGGAGTGCAAGTACAATACAAGTAAGTCTAGCTGTCCTCTTGACTGTTATGGACCTACTTACAGATGCCTTCCAGGTTTTGCAAAAATTATTGTACAAATTTGATATTAAATAAAGCTAACAAACACTTTTATAGAAATAAAAAATTTTGCTTTGTGAATAGAAACACCACATAGCATGAAGCAGGAGCAGATACAAATATTTCCATAATGCAATAGCACTTTAACTTTCAATTTTGTTTTGTTTCTGTTATCTGATACTGTGGAGAGAATTCTAGCCATCTTGCCCTTAATACCCAGCAGCCAGCTATGGAGTAAAAGTCCAGAGTATTAGTAGGAAAAGAGATTTGAATCCAAGGGTCCCGAGAGTTGCCACTATTGTCCCTTGTCCCCTACTATCGTATAAATCAATATATTCCAATCTGACTACGTTTTCACCTGAAGATTTCAGAGAATCAATACTGCCCTACTATTTCTTTTGTATTTTTCTATTTAGGACCATTCAGAAGCTAGGCCAAGTACCCAGAGGGAGAGAAGAGAGGAAATTTCTGTGCATATTCAAATATGCCTTTTAAAAACTACAACATAACAAAGTATTCCAGCTTCATTTTTAAAATTTTGTCCTATTTATATCATTTTAGACACTTAAGTGAGCTGCTGAAAAGAACTGCTCTCCATGGAGAGAGTAACTCTGTCCTTATTATCGGACCCCGAGGATCAGGAAAAACTATGGTAAAAGCTGTTGATTTCTGGTGTTTGTTGGCATGTGATGATTCTTATTTTATATAAGAATAAATAAATTCATATATAAATCTTATTTTATGTAATACTGAAAATACTTTTCATTATTTTGTAATGTTTTACTTTTTTGTTTTTTTCTTTTTTAATCACAGAAGACATGTAAAACTTTATAAACTTAGGGTGGTATATTTGAGTGTAGCAGACCTTTTTCCCCCTTATTTGTCCTCCTAGTGAAAAATTGTCAATTGATGTTTGTTCCAACATGGTCTTTTGTCCTTAAAGAAGTAGAGATTTCCAGTGGAAAAAGAAAATAGCATGTATTGAGCATGTACTATGTGTCTTTTTATTGTGTTCTCTCATTTATTCTTTACATCAACACTGCACGGTAGGGTTTTTCCCTTTGTTATAGGTTAGGGAACTATCATATCATGCATTCTTTTTATTTTTCCTACATCATTACTATTTGTTTAACCCTAACTTACACAGTTTTTCAGTGCATGCTCACATCTTATATCATTCTTGTCTCCTTTTGCTCTTTATCATATTTGCTTAGTTACCTCAAAAAGATATTCTTACTTATTTCCCTTTACTCTTTTCTTTGATATCCTTTATGCAATATAGGAGACAAATTATGGGTGTTAACTTTTGAAAGCAATTAATTTCAATGCTAAGTAGTCTGTGTAAAATCTGTTCTCATGTATTATATACAATAAATTTCAATTTTTGACCAATGTACTTTAAAAAAATGGATGAGAAGCAAAATTTTTTTTAACATTTAAGCAATGTATATTGAAATTACATTATTAAGATGAGTACGTTAGGATTTTACTGTTATCACATCTGAAGTATTGTTTAATATAAATTGAGAATTTAGATCTAGGTAATTTCTTTCAATATTTCACAAATTGTCACATTTATATATAATCATATTTGCAGTAATTTTTTAGTTTCAAATCTATGTTTAATTTGTTTTAGTCCTCATACTCAGCTTCTATAATCACTATTTCTTCATTCTTGAGTTTTTTATTATGGTTTTTCTTTGCATTTGAATTCACTGTTATTTTGGGTAGTTTTCACAAGAGGGCTATGTGAAATGTTTTTAAATTTCAAATTTTTAAATTTTTAAATTTAAGAAACTTTTTATTTTAACCATTCTAATAGGTATATATTGGTGTCTCATTGTTTGTACTTGTAATTCTCTAATGACATATGCTGTTGAGCATCTTTTCATACACTTCTTTTTCATCTATATATGTTTGGTGAGGTGTCTTATGCCCATTTTTAATTTGGGTTATTTGTTTTCTTATTGATAGGTTTTAGGAGTCCTTTATATTTCTGATTTTCAGTTTTGTTTTGCAAGTATTTTCTTACAGTCTGTGGCTTTTCTTTTCATACTATTAATATTATTTCATAATATTAAAAGAATATTATTCTTTTCATACTATTAATAATAACATTGTCTTTGGCAGAGCAGAAGATTTCATTTATTTATTTATTTATTTTTGAGATGGGATGTTGCTATGTCTTTTCATACTATTAACTGTATCTTTGGTAGAGTAGTTTTTATTTATTTATTTTACTTACTTACTTACAAGAATAGGGTCTTGCTCTTTCACCCAGGCCGGAGTGCAGTGGCATGATCACAGCTCACTGTAGCCTTGGCCTCTTGTGCTCAAGCAGTCCTCCCACCTCAGCCTCCTGAGTACATGGGACTGCAAGCATGCACCATCACACCTGGCTAATTTTTTTTTTTTAATTTTGTGTAGAGACGAGGTCTCCCCATGTTTCCCAGGCTGGTCCTGAACCCTGAGCTCAAGCAATCCTGCCTTAGCTTTCCAAAGTGCTGGGATTACAGACATGAGCCACTGTGCCCAACTGAAGTCTTTGATCTTAATAATCTAATTTGTCAGTTTTTTCTATCATGTATTATGATTTTGGTATTGTATCTGAAGCTTCATCACCAAACCGAAAGTCATGTAGATTTTTTCCTATGTATCTTCTACAAGCTTTATAGTTTTGCATTTTATATATAGGTCTGTGATTCATTTTGAGTTAATTTTTGTGAAAGATGTAAGGTCTGTGTTTAGATTCGTTTTTTTTTCTTTTTTTTTTTTGCAAATGAATGCCCAATTGGAGAAAGACTATCTTTTATCCATTGAATTGCCTTTGCTTCTTTGTCAAAGATCAGTTGACTATGTTTATGTGGTTCTGTTTTTAGGTTCTCTTTCTATTCCCTTGCTTTGTCTGTCTTTTGCCAATATCACATTGTTTTGATTACTGTAGATTTTTAGTGAGTCTTTAAGGTAAGTACTGTCAGTCTTCTGACCTCGTTCTTCTGCAGTATTGTGTTGGCTGTCTGCATACTTTGCCTTTTCATATTAACTTTAGAATCACTTTGTACATATCCAGAAAATTCTGGGAATCTTTGTGAATTGCTAGATTTTGAGTTAAATTTATACATCACAATAGGAAGAATGGACATCTTAACTATATTTAGTCTTCCCGTTCTTGGAGTATCTATTTATTTAAGACTTTTGTCAGTTTTTGTAGTTTTCTTAATAAAGATCTTACACATGTTTCGTTAGATTTATACCTAATT
The DNA here is from genome assembly GCF_000001405.40 of Homo sapiens. NCBI lineage: Eukaryota > Metazoa > Chordata > Mammalia > Primates > Hominidae > Homo > Homo sapiens. Next base: position 147,970,130 of record NC_000002.12, on the reverse strand, counting down.
TTTCATTTTTTTGGTTCTAGTGCGAATAGTACTGTGTTTTTTATTTCCTTTTCTAAGTCTTCATTGCTAGTAGATAGCTAAACACTTGGCTTTTCTATATTTGCTTGTATTCTGCAACCTTGCTATAATTGCTTCTCAATTCCATTAGTTTTTTTGTCAGTTCTTTGAGATTTTTTTACTTAGACAGTTATGTTATCTGTCAACAAAGACAGTTTTAATTATTCCTTCCCTATCTCCATACTTCTATTCCTTTTCTTCTTTTATTGCATTAGTTATTCATAGACTATGTCTAACAGTTAATCATAAAATTCACTAATACTCTGCATACTGATTTAGTATAAATTTAGAGGGTATTGTTCACTAAAGAATAATATTCTTTTATTTTTGAATATTCTTTCATTTTTTCTTATGATTAGAAAAAATGAATATCCAATATTAGAATATTCAGTTCTTAAATCTTTGTTTTCATTTTTCCATGTCTACCATCTTTTTCATGTTTTTTCCCCCTCTCTCAGCATTCTGTCATATGGCCAATGTGATTTTCTTTACTGCCAGTGCTGTCATTTGCTTCTTCTAATCTGATATTGCATTTCAGTTTTCTAAGAATCTTTTCTTCTTGTCTAAGTCTGGCTTAAATAGCTCAAAACATTTATTTCATAAAATAGTCATTTTAGGTAGTAATTAACCTTTTTATACTTTATTTTTAAATTGACTCATAATAATTATACACTTTCATGGGATATATAGTGATGTTTTGATGCATATAGTGTATAGTGATCAAATCAGAATAATTAGCATATCAATCATCTCAAACATTTATCATTTATTTATGTGGGGAACATCCAGTATCCTTCTTCTAGCTATTGGAAAATATTATTGTTAATTATAGTCATCCTATAGTTACAGAAAAATGATAGTACAACACTGTTACTTACTCCTCCTATCTTGCTGTAATTTTGTGTTCATTATTGAATCTCTCACTATCCCTCCTTTCCTCCTACCCTTCCTACCCTATCCTCTCTTCTACTTTTGACTTCTGTAAGACCTACTTTTCTTGGCTTCCATAGATGAGTGAAAACGCATGGTGTTTAACTTTCTTTTCCTGGCTTATTTCATTTAATATAACTTCTTCCAGTTCCATCTATGTTGCTGTGAATGACAGAATTTCATTTCTTTTTTTAATGGCTGAACAGTATTCCATTGTGTGTATATACACATATTCTTTATCCATTCATCTGTTGTTGGACAACTAGGTTGATCCATATCATGGCTATTGTGAATAGTACAACAATAAATACGGGCTGCAGATGTCTCTCTGATGTAATGATTTCCGTTCCTTTATATAAATTCTCAGTAGTGTGATTGCTGGACCATATGGTAGTTCTATTTGTAGTGGTTTTTGGGGAACCTTTGTACTGTTTTCAATATTGGCTAGTTTACATTCCCACCAATGGTGTATAAAAGTTCCTTTTTTTTGCATCTTCACCAGCATTTATTATTTTTTGTTTTTCTGAAAATAGACATCCTAACTGGAGTGAGATGATACCTCACTGTGGTTTCTATTTGCATTTCCCTGATGATTGATGATGTTAAGCATTTCTTCATGTATTCGTTGGCTATATGTATGTCCTTTCAGAAATGTCTGTTCAGATAATTTGCCTGTTTTTTAAGCAAATTGGTTTTTTGCTTTTGAGATACTGGAGTTCCTTGTGTAATCTGGATATGAATCCCTATGAGATGAATACTTTGCAGATATTTTCATTTATTCTGTAGATTGTCTTTTCATGCTGTTGATTGTTTCCCTTGCTATGCAGAAGCTTTTGAGTTTGATGTTAGCAGATTTGTCTATTTTTTTATGTTGTCTGTGATTTGCAGTTTTTATTCATAAGATATTTTCCTAGACTAGTGTCCTGAAGTATTACCCCTATGTTTTCTTCTAGTAGTTTTATAGTTTCAGGTCTTAACATTGAGGTCTTTGATCTATTATGAAATGATTTTTGTACAGGATGAGAGATGGGAATCTAGTTTAATTCTTCTGCATATCCAGTTTTCTCAGCACCATTTATTGAAGAAATTGCCCTTTCCCTGATGAGTGAGTGTTCTTGGCCTTTGTAAAAATCAGTTGGCTGTTGATAAGCAGATTAATTTCTGGGTTCTCTATTCTGTTCTATTGGTCTACATGTCTGTTTTTATGCCAGTACCATGCTGTTTTGGTTACTACAGCTTTGTAGTATATTTGAAGTAAGGCAGTATGTTGACTCCAGCCTTATTCCTTGTGCTCAAGATTGCTTTAGCGATTTGGCATCTTTTGTTGTTTCATATGAATTTTAGGATTTTTTTTCTATCTCTGTGAAGAATATCATTAGTGTTATGATAGGAATATCATTGAAACTGTAGATTGCTTCTGGTAATATAGTAATTTTAACAATATTCATTCTTTCTATCATGTGAGTATGGGTGTCTTTTCATTTGTGTGTATCCTCCTCAATTTCTTTCTTCAGTGCTTTGTAGTTTTCCTTGTACAAAACTGTACCTTTCACCTCCTTAATTGAATTTATTCCTCAGTAATTACGTTTTTTTGGTAGCTCTTATAAATGGGATTGCCTTCTTGATTTTTTTTTTTCGGGTAGTTTGTTGTTAGTATATACAAACAGTACTGGTTATTGTATATTGATTTTGTAGCCTTCAACTTTACTGAAATTCTAAGAGTTTTTTGGTAGAGTCTCTAGGTTTTTCTATATATAAGATTATGTCATCTGCAAAAAGGAATGAATTGACTTCTTCCTTTCCCATTGCTTTGGCTTGAACATCTAGTACTATATTGAATAAGAATGGGGAGAGTGAACATCCTTGTATTGTTCCAGTTCTTACAGGAGAAACTTTTAGTTTTTCCCCATTTGGTGTGATGTTGGTTTTGGGTTTGTCATATATGGCCTTTACTGTGTTGTGGTGTTTTTTTTCTATACCTTTTTGACAGTTTCTATCATGAAGGGATGTTGAATTTTATCACGTGTTTTTTTCTGCATCCATTGAGATGATATAGTTTCTGGCCTCCATTCTATTGATGTGGTGTATGATGTTTATTGATTTGCGTATATTAAACCATCCTTGCATCCCTGGGATAAATCCCACTTGATCATGGTGAATGATCTTTTTGCATTCAGCTTACTAATACTTTATTGAAGACTTTTGCATCTATATTCATCAGAGATGTTGACCTGTAGTTTTTGTTGCTGTTTTGTCCTTGTCTAGTTTTGATGTCAGGGTTATGCTGGCCTCATAGAACGAATTAGGAAGAATTTTCTCTGCTTGAATTTTTTGGAATAGTTTTAGAAGAATTGGCATTAATTCCTTAAGGGTTTAGTAGAATTCAGCAGCAAAGCCATCCAGTACTGGATTTTCCTTTGTTGGAAGACTTTTTATTCCTGATTCTACCTCATTATTTGTTATTGGTCTCTCCAGGTTTTCTGTGTCTTCTTGCTTCAATATTGAAAGGTTGTATGTGTCCAGGAACTTAACCATTTCCTTTAGGTTTTGTAATTTATTGATGTATAGTTCTTCATAGTAGTCCCTAATGATCCTTTTTATTTCTGTGATATTCAGTTTGATGTCTCCTTTTTCTTTTCTCATTTATTTATTTTGGTCTTTCTTAGTCTAGCTAAGCAACTTTTGTTTCAGTGATTTTTTGTAGTATTGTTTTAGTCTCAATTTTGTTTATTCCTTCTCTGATATTTATTTCCTTTGACTAATTTGGGGTTTGGTTTGTTCTTTTCTAGCTCTTTGGAATACATTGTTAGATTTTTTAATTTAAAATTTTTCTAATTTTTTGGATTGCATTGTTAGATTCTTTATTTGAAATTTTTCTAGTTTTTTGATGTAGGCATATATTGATATAAACTTGCCTCTTAATTCTGCTTTTGCTGTGTGTTCCTTAAGTTTTAGTAAGTTGTGTTTCTATTTTCTTTTGTTTCTAGGAATCTGTAATATTCTTAATTTCTTTTGCCCATTGTTCATGGGCATGTTGTCTAATTTCCATATTTTTGTATAGTTTTTAATGTTCCTGTCATTATTATTACTTTTTAAAAAAAATATAGACCAGGTCTCCCTATTTTGCCCAGGCTGGTCTCAAACTCCTGGGCTCAAGGGATCCTCCCACCTTGGCGTCTCAAAGTGTTGGGGTTACAGGTGTGAGCTACCACACCTAGCCAGTTGTTTTTATTATCGATATCTAGTTTTATTCCATTGTGGCCAGATCAGATACTTGATAGGATTTTGCTTTTTTTAAAAAAATGTTTTAAGACTTCTGTTGTGTCCTAACATGAGGTCAGTCTTGGAGAATCTTCTGTGTGCTGATGAGAAGAATGTACATTCTGCAGTTGTTGGGTGAAATGTTCTATAGATGTATTTTAGGTCCATTTGGTCTATGGTGAAGTTCAAATTCAATGTCTCTTTGTTGATTTTCTGTCTAAATTATCTGTCCAATGCTGAGAATAGGGTGTTGAAGTTCCTATTATTTTATTGCAATTTATCTCTCTTTAGATCTAATAATACTTGCTTTATACATCTGAGTGTTTCAGTGTTGGGTACATTTATATGTACAACTGTTATATTCTGTTGTTGAATTGATCCTTTTATTATTATATAATGTTCTTTGTTTTTACAACTTTCTTATCACTTTTATTTTCCATTTTCATAGGATATCTTTTTCATACCTTTAAGTCTGTGTGTCTATACAGGTGAGGTGAGTTTCTTGTAGCAGCATATAATTGAGTTTTTTTTTTTATCTGTTCTGTATTTTTTAAATGGGAAACTTAATTGGTTTATATTCAAGATTATTATTGATAAGTGAGGACTTACCCTGTCATTTTAGTGATTGTTTTCTGGTTGTTTCATATATCCTTTGTTTCTTACTTCCTCTCATTTATTTTTCCAGTTGGGTGCCTCTCTGTAGTGATAAGGCTTGATCCTTTCTCTTTCTCCTTTATGTATCCGCAGTACCAGTGAGTTTTATAGTTTTCCCTGTTTTCATGATGGTGGTCATCATCTTTGCATTTGTGGATGTTAGACTCCCTTGAACATTTCTTATAGGTCTGGTCTAGTGATGACGGATTGCTTTAGTTTTTGCTTGTCTGTGAAAGATTTTATTTCTCCTTTATTTCTGAAGCTGCTGGGTATTATATTCTTAGCTGACAGTTCTTTCATTCTGAGCTTTGATTGTATCATCCCATTCCCCTCTGTCCTGTCAGGTTTCTCTTAAGAAATCTGCTGTTGTATATTCTGACAATCAGCTAAAATGTAAACAAGAAGGATGAAAGATGTTTTAAAATATCATTTAAAAAAATGATAGTTTAAAATTTTTAATTAAAAAAAAGAAATCTGCTATAAAGAAGAAGAAATCTACTGTTAGTATAATAGGGATTCCCTTATAGTGACTTGACACTTTACTTTTGCTGCTTTAATTATTTGTCTGTGACTTTTAACAATTTGACTATAATATGCCTCAGAGAAGACCTTCTGTTTGTGTTGAGTCTGTTTGGAGTTTTGAGCTTCCTTTGGATGTCCATTCCTCTCTCAAGAACTGGGAAGTTTTCAACTATGGTTTTATTAAATATGTTTTTCTCACCTTTTCCTTCTTTTCTCCTCCTGAAAGTACAATAATACAAATATTTGTTCACTTATTGAAGTCTTATAAATCCTGTAGACTTTCTTCATTCTATTTTTTTTCTTGTCTGCCTGTGTTATTTCAAACAATTTGTCTTCAATTTAAGAAATGCTTATGCTTGATGTAGTCTGTTATTGAAGGTCTCAGTTGTATTTTCTATTTCATTCATTAACTTCTTCAGCTGTAGGATTTCTGTTTGTTTTTTTATGGTATCTCTGTTAATTTCTTATTCGAATCACAAGTTGTTTTTCTGATTTTGTTCAATTTTCTATCTGTATTCTTTTGAATTTCACTGAGTGTTGTCAAGATTATTATTTTAAATTCTTCTGGCATTTTCTGTATTTCTTTATGATTCTTGTCTGTTACTAGAGGAATTATTGTTTTCCTTTGGAAGTGTCATGTTTTCTTGCTTTTTTATGTTTAATGTGTCCCTATGTTGATTGATACGCCTCAGGTAGAAAAGTAAAATTGTCTTTTCCAATCTTACAGAATTGATCTCGTAAGGAAGTACTGATTTGTGTCAATGTGTCTCGAGGTGTCAGTTTGATGTGGTTCATTGGCCTTGGTTCTAGTTGGATACAGTAGTGTGGTCTTTGTGTAGTTTTTTCAGCTGTAATCCACACTAGTGTCATTTACAAGTGTCTCAGTGGCCTAGGCTGAGAGTTGTTTGTGGTGGCAGTTGTACAGCTTTGCAAGGGGTGGGTTTGCTGGGCTGGTTCTCAGTTTGGGGGCATATGCATGCATATGGTGGGTCAATCACCTTGGGATCTGACACACTGGCAGATGGGGCTATTAATGTGGCCAGGAGCATAGTCATGTGGTTGCTTAGCCAGTCTTGGTGAATGTTTGCCAGGAACAACTCACTGGTTTGTTTCTCAGGCCCAGGAGATGCCTGGGATCCAGGTGCAAGGCTGCTTGATCCCAACAGAGGTGTAGGGATACAGTTCCTCGACTGGCTTAGGGCCGTATCTGCTGAGGGGTTCCACAGGATTGTTTCTCAGGTTTAGGATGCAGGCACAAGGCTATTCAGCTGGCTTATGGGCATGCCCACTAGAGGCGTCCTGTGAGGCTGTTTCTCAGGCCTGTGACACTGCTGCTTGGCTGGCCTGGGAACTTTTCTGCAGCAGATGGCCCACTGGACCATTTTGTAGACCTGGGAAGTAGGAGCAGGGTTGCTCGACTGGCCCAAAAGAGTGTCTGCCAGAGGCAACCCTCAGGGCTGATTTGTAGGCCTAAGGTGTAATGCTGCTCAGCCAGCTAGGGTAATGTGTCTGTTAGGGGCAGTTGGCAAGTGTACTTCTCAGGTTAGCGACGTGGGCACATGATTGCTTGGCTGGTCCTGGGGCATGTCTGATGGAGTTATAGGGAGGCTGTGCTGTTTGTCAGGTTTGGGAGGTGAGCACAAGACTGCTTGGCAGGCTCAAGAATGGCCTGAAGGGCTACTTCTCAGGCCTAGTATGTGTTCACAGGGATGCTTGGCCACCCTGTGGGAGGTGTATTCACCATGGGTGGCCCATAGGGCTGTTTCTCAGGTACAGGTCATGGCTCATGGCTGCTCGGCTGGGCTGGGGGCATGCCTGCCAGGGGTAACCTTCTGGGCTATTTTTCAGGCTCTGATTGTGGGCACAGGACCACTGGGCAAGCTAGGGGTATGTCTGCGGGAGGGAGGGGTGCACGGTATTGTGGGGCTGTTTCTCAGGTTCTGAGTGTGGGTGCATAGCCGCTCTGCCAGTGCAAGGGGTGTATCAGCTGCTTGGATGCTCGGGGGCCTCTCCTTCTTGGGAGAGAGCCCCACCCTGGTTTGGTCACCTCAAGTGAGAGTTTGCCCTGGGTGGGACTGCCAGATTGGTTCTCTGGCTGGAAGTGTGGCAGCAAGGGGTTGGTTTCCTTGCTGTGTAGGACCAGAGTCATAACCAATTATAGGCTCAGTCTCTGTGCAGCTAGAGTTGTGTGTTCAGCCACCTATGTGGGCTTGGTGGAATGAAGATGGACCCCTAGTACTGGAAAGGTGCAGTGACTACTGGCCCACAGAGCGGGGCGCACAACAGAGGTGGCTCTGGCCTCAATGGTGCCATGCTGCAGCAGGGCAGGTTGGCCTACAGGTGGGTGAGGGTTGGAGAGTGCATACCTTATTCTCATGATCTGGAGCAATGCAACTGCTTGAATTCCCAGCAGCTGTCCACCTTGACTTAGGGCTTGCTAGGACTATGGGATTCTCCTGTGGTAAGGACTGTAGGTGTTTGTGATGGCGGTGAGGACTGGTGGGGATCTTCTGCTTACCTTTTCCCCAGAACGGGAAGTCCCTCCTGACTACGGGAAGATTTGATCGGGGTGCAGGAGATGTAGCTGCAGAGGCCAGGTGCCTACACACTACCCTCCTGGATTTTCAGTCACTACACATTTCCCCTTCCCTGCTGCACTCCAGTACTCTCCCTTCAACACGCCAGTCAAATCTTAGCTGTTCATTCATTGCTGTGGTCCTTTCTTGTTGGGAGTACGAGCACCAGGAGTCTCTAATCAGCCATCTTGCTTAATATTTTAAATCTGAACTTAATCTTTTTAATCTGCTTGTTGTTCCCTTCCACGTTATAGCACCTTTTCATAAACCCCTATAGGTTTAATCAATGTACTGAAATTTAAAGGCAAAAGCATTAAATCATAGTATTTATCAGTTAATAAAATGGATCAGTTATTCTTGGCCACACTGACAGTTTATCTACTTTTTGCTTTTTAAACCAGAGCCCTATTGTGGTGCCTTGCAGTCATTTATTTTCACTATAGTGGAATCTGGAAGAGTCCCTTGCATGGCATTCCATTTTGATATAGTTTCATATATTCCTGATGTACTCTGATGCTGGCAGGTTGAAGAGATGAGCATTGTTTGACTTGTGCTACTTTTGTAATTTGTTGTATGTGTGGGAGTATCCTGAGAGAAAATATAGATTGAATAAATTGTCAGATATAATTTATTTTTAGACAATAACTCTCGATAGTATAATTTTTTTCTTTTTCTTTTCTTTTTTTTTTTTTCTTTGACAGAGTCTCACTCTGTTGCCCAGGCTGGAGTGCAGTGGCACGATCTAGACTCACTGCAACCTCTGCCTCGCGGGCTCAAGCAATCCTCCCACATTTGCCTCCCGAGTAGCTGGGACAGGCATGTGCCACCACACCCAGCTAAGTTTTTTATGTTTAGTAGAGATGGGGTTTCACCATGTTTACCAGGTTTGTCTGGAACTGCTGTGCTCAAGTGATCCACCCACCTTGGCCTTCCAAAGTGCTGGGATTACAGGCATGAGCCACTGTGCCTAGCCTCATTAGTATAATTATATAAATTCAAATTTTAAAACATAAGACTGTAGTCTTATGTTTGTTTGTTTTAACCCCTAATCCTAACCCTAAGATTATAGTATATTTAAAACACTATACTTGGCCAAACTGTCTGAAATACAAAAATGCTAACTCTATAGTTAATTGAAAAAGGCAATAGTGTGGCTTATAATATTACAAGCATTTTATTTAAAAAAAAAATTGATATGGCTTCAAGTGACAGATTGACCCCTAGAAAATACCTTTTTTTGTTTTAAGAGACAGGCTCTCTGTCACCCATGCTGGCGCCCAGCGGCTCAATCATAGCTCACTAAAGCCTCAACCTCCTGGGCTCAGGCAGTCCTCCTGCCTCTGCCTCTCAAAGCACTCAGATTACAGGTGTGACCCACTGTACCGACCCTTAGAAAATGCTCTTACACATGCAATTTACTGTAGACAAATTTGCTAGATGGTTAAATAGGATATTTCTCCTAGTTGCATATTGGTGAAACCTGTGTTTATTATAATATTTGGGAATAGTATAAGTTGGTGAGCATAAAAATTACTGGATGTTGGGAGGTCTAAGAAAATTATCTTAGTATGTTTGTAAAATTAAATTTTAGGCACAAAGAATGTGGAAAGGAGATGACCAAATTTGGTTATGTTGGTCAGTGTGATATTAATAACCAACTAAATATTTTTAGTGTATAATGTAGTTTAAATATTTGAAATGATAACATATTCAAGAAAAAAGCTAACTTAAATGGTTGATTGCATAAACAATAAATTTTAGCAATACCCAGATTAGAACTAACATTATTTGAAGACTCACTTGCTAATATATTTATCATTTCAGACCATACACACAACCCATAAAATATTAGTGGGCTGATCCAAGCAAAGCATAAGTTGGTGTTTAAAGTAAGTTGAGTGGAAAGAAAGCTATAAATCTGTTACAACTCTCCTTATGCATATATAAAATGGAAGGTATTATTAAAATCCCCATTCCTTTTAGCAAAGGATTTGAAATGGTTTTGAATAATTCATCAAAACATAAAACATTGTATGAATTAAAACAAAATCATAACCTAGGAAAAAATATATTAAGCAAAATATCAAGAGATGGAAGAAAGAAAATACCATGGATTGCAAAAAAAATAAAAAATAAAAAATTTTTGCTGAAAGCACTGTTTTGAGAGACCAACTCTGTATCATCTAGGGATGTACTCTTATTATAGTGTCTGACCTGATCCAGAGGTGAAGAAGTACCTCTATGCAGTCCTTTAATGTTACTTCTCATTAAATGTCACTTCTCATTAAATGTCACTTCTCAGTTGGGCTATTACTGGTAGTATGACAGGTGATATCTTGAGATTGTCTCCTTTTCAGAGGACCTGGAATTCCCTATGCTTTAAAAACCATGCAGGTATAACAGGAAATTTTTTTTATTTTTGTTGTCTTGTTATGAAACATATGTAATTTAAAATGAGGATCATATTTGCTTTTTTCTTTTTAGATAAGGTGTTGCAATGACAAATAAGTAGCATATTGCAAATACAAACAGTATTTTGTTTTGGAAAATAGTTTACCAGTTGTCCCAGTGCCTTCGTTGAGTAATACTTTTTGTCCTAAGTTTTGATGCCATCTCTATTAATATTTTGTGTATACAACTGCTTTTCCCAGTTCACTTATTTATGATAGTACCTATATTTTAATATTGGAAGGAACAGTCCATCTTTACTCTTTAAATAGGTTTTTGGCTTTTCTTAATTACATTCATTTTCAAATTCTTTAAAAAAAAGAATGCATTGGTAATATGAAGAGATATGTATGATATCACAGTACAAGAGCAATACAATGTTATTTAAAAAAGTATGCTTCATAGAAACCTTTAATTCAATGGGCTTTTAACTGATTACAATGATATTTAGTAGAGTAATTGTCAGAGAGATGTGTAATGTACTAACTGAGACATGAAGTTTATAAGGGCCATGTCACATGTTTAATGTGACATGTAGAGAAATATTTATTTTAAAACTTGGTTGTTTCTAAATTTGTATTAAAAGTTCGGGTAGGTGATTGAGAGAATATTGTATCAGTCCTGGCTCTTGTTTCTTAAAAAGAGTCAGATATGAGATGTTCTAGTTAAACCTTTTATCTGTAAAGAATTTGAAAACTTACTTGTTAAAGAGGTCAATTTATTTATATTCTGTTCTTACTGCTTGTAGTTTAAAAACGAATATGGACTTATTTTTATCTTTTACCTATTATTATTTCATAAACTTTTCATATTTAGTTAATAAATCATGCTTTGAAAGAACTCATGGAAATAGAAGAAGTGAGTGAAAATGTATTACAAGTTCACTTAAATGGTAAGTATGCCATTATTTTGCCATTGGAGATTATGTAAACTTTGTGGGGTTTTTATATGACTTGTATATTTCAAATCCATTTTAATAGTTAGATTTTGAAAACTAGATCCATGTTTTACTTAGCACACCATATGCAGTATTTTTAGAAATTAAAATAATAATAATGAAGGAGTCGCAGAAGGACTCTGGTTTTTGTGGGTTTTTTGGTTTTTTTTTTTTTAATCATTCTAATCCCAAGGAGGATTGTTTTTTGATTCTACCGAATGTCTTTATTGCTAAGTTTTAAGAAGAAAGTGATATGAACTCACAGGCTTTGACTGGGAAGATTTACTTAACTGGAAAACAACCTGCTGTATCAAATACATGTTTAATTTTAATTAAATACTTTTAAATGGACTTTATTTTAGGACTGCTGCAGATCAATGACAAAATCGCCCTAAAGGAAATCACAAGGCAGTTAAATCTGGAAAATGTAGTTGGAGATAAAGTTTTTGTAAGTATCATTTCAGTTATTTTATTAAATAGACTTTTAAGGTAATGTCTTTATACCATGTATATTTTTATATTTCTGGAAGGGTAGGGAGAGGTTCAGAAATTCTTAATTGAAATATATGAGATTCTTTCATAAAAATGTGTAATGTATAGGATACATTTAGTCATTAAGTCTACAATACTTGGATTTTTCCATAGTAGGTTATAGTAGCTGTAAAATAGCTAAGAAACCCAAGTTTATGTAGATATTCTGAGTTTATTTCATTTTCTGTAAGGTGAATACTTTGATTCTGTATCTCTGGAGATAGATTAACACATTTTTAAAAATACCATGCTCCAGCAGCCTATTTCTACTTTTTTGAGACTTGAGTAGCCTGTGTATAGTAGAAAATGTGCTAAATTTGAGGCTGCAATAGGTGGGTTTCAGTCATGCCTTACAACCCTTTGACTGCCTGATAATCCTGAGCTAACAAGTATCTCTGAATTCAGATTCTTTACATGTTAATTGGGCGTTATTTTATTATCCATACTTCACAGGATTATTTTGAAGAAGAAAGAAAACATTACACATCATTTAACTTAAAAAATAATTTGCTGGATGGTAATGTGCTGTACAAATGTCAGTTATTCTGTTTTCAGAAATTTATTCATACTTCATTATCATATCATCTTATAGTCTCAGGGCAGTGAACAACATCAGTAAAAGAAACTGACTTGAAATGTTTTGAAACTTGTATTAAACTTTTACCTTTCACCTAATATATAGGGCCTAAGGAAAACATGATAATTTAATTTTGCACCTACCTGAATTTTCATGATGAAATTACCTAGCCTCATACTGCTTATGCAGTTGGAGTGGATTATACACATTCCAACTTCATTTTCTGGTTACTGGTGACCATGCGGTGGCATCGCTCTAATTTCTGAACTGTGTGCTTTGTGCTGCAATGACACCGCCATAGTTGTGTAAGACTCCTAGCATTTATGAGTTTCTTTCTTTAATAATCAATCTATAAAATTATTAATTATATAATTATATACTCTATAAAATTATTAATTATATAATTATATAATTATATAATCTATGTAATTCTATAATAGGTTATATCTATATAATTATCTAATAGATTATATATAATTATAGTTTATTATATGTAATTATAGATTATAATCTAAATTATTAATATAATATATTAATCTATAAAAATATTAATATAAAATGTTAATCTAATCTAAAAGGTTGAGTAAATTTGTCCCTTCCAAAGTCTGTAGGTCTTTGAAGTGCAGTTTCAAAATGCCCCATCTATAAATCTAATATTCTACCTCCTGTTTAGAATGTGATGTTGAAGCTAGTGGCCTATACTGAGCCAAAGACAGTTCTTGTTAAGTATGCTCAGTTTGGCTTTTGGTTCCCAGTTGATCTGGGTAGGTGTTTCTGACATTTTTAAATGTTACATATTCATATTGGTTTTATGTGAAATAATAAAAATGACAATTTTTTATCATTCTGTTCTAATCTTCGCTATTATTATCATATATAGAGATTATTAGTTTAAGTTGTACCCAAAAATGTTTTGGCTGTGTTCCGAGTAAGCATAGCCAAACATGATACGATATACATAAATTCTTCAATGTACTCTTGAATAGAGAAATACTGCTATAGAAATTAATAGTTTAATTCCTTCATTATATAAATTTGGCTTCTGCTCAGAGAGCATAATTAGGTTGCCGAAGGTCATAAAATGGCAGAGCCTGGACATTATAAGAACCTAAGTCACTTAATTCAACCCACAGCTTTTCTGGTTTGATATAAACAGACATATATATGTATATTATACATGCACAAATACGTATTTATAGAAGCATATACTTAGTATCAGATGTAATAATCTTTTAAGCAAAAAGCCTGAAAGACAAGCTACCTTTGAGTAACTGACCACTGATTTCCCAACAGATTGTCTCTTTGAGGATTTGTTATATTACGGTAAATTATGGATAACACCTCTTGGTCTGCCTGCCTTGGAAATAGCATAACAACATCACAATATGTGAAAGTTTTAAAACCTTTATGCTATTTTTATGTTAGATCTCTCAACTGGAGAGTGAATAAGTGTGTTTCTTTTCTCCTTTATATCTCCTCAAATTTAAAGTTGGCTGTTTCTTTTAGTTATGAACTCTGAATGAAGTAAAAGTTAATAATTTTAATGAAACAAATATTTTAATGGGGCTTCTACCCACAATCTGGAGCACCTGGATAATGCATCTACTACACTAAGTTTCATCAAGAATATTTAATAGTATCCAAAAATGTTTTGGCTATATTCCAAGTAAACATAGCCAAACATGATATGATATACATAAATTCTTCAGTATACTCTTGAATAGACAAACACTGTTATAGTATCTAATGTTTCAAAAAAGCCTTTTCTTTTTGTTTCTCATTTAAATTCATGGTTATTTCTTTACCAGTACAAATTAGAGACTTGCAAGACCCCATTGTGTTTGAAGACACAAAGTAGAATCCATTTCTAGGTCTCAAACTATATTTAGAATATGGCAATTCTACAAAACTACCTTCAAATAAATTTAACATTCTTTCAGATTTTTTCCGGAAAATATAAAATTTCTTACTTTTCTTTTTCTTCTTTGACCGTTTTATCCTCAAGTTCTAAAATATAAAATTTCAAAGATGACATTGTAATTGCCATTTTCAGTGATGTGCCATCTTTGCTTAAGTATTTAAGTTTTAGATAGGAAGTATAGAGACACTCAGCAGAGTCTGGGCAATGACTCTAATAACTAGAAGATATACAGTGTTTATATAAAATTTGAGAATCAGACAGCCATCTTTTGTTCTTTATTTCACTAAACTTTTAATCATTTTATCTCATTTTGTTGTTCAGGGAAGCTTTGCTGAAAACCTTTCATTTCTTCTGGAAGCTTTAAAAAAAGGTAAATATTAACATATTCAGCCGTTTCAGAAGATCTGTTTTAACTTTATTTTTTCCCTGATTATAAAGGTAATACAAGCTTTTGCCAAAAAAAAAAGCTCTCATAAAATACAGAAACATTAAAAAGAATACAATGTTCACTGTATTCCCACCACTATAACAGTGATTATCTCAATTAGCATTTGGTTTCTTATCTTTATTCAATGATATACTGATCTTTATATCAGTATATTATTGATAGAGATAAATGTGATTTTTTACAACAATAAAATTATTTTACCTATTTTGTAATAAGATTTTGATCTGCATCATCATTTTTATGGTTCTTGTTTTATAAGGTGCTATTTATTAATCACCAATTATGGGCTTTTGTTTCTAATTTTTTATAATTAAGAAGAGATACTTTGATGATCATCCAGATATTTCCTGGGATAAATTTCTGTGGGTAGAATTCTGGGTTAAAAGGCACCATCTTTAACATTTAAAAACTACCCTAAAGGTTTAATTTGTAAAAATATTTGATAATACCTTTTTCTTCACAACCTCAAAAACAATTATTATTTTTATGTTTGCCCATATAATAGAAAAAC
The DNA here is from genome assembly GCF_000001405.40 of Homo sapiens. Classification (NCBI taxonomy): domain Eukaryota; kingdom Metazoa; phylum Chordata; class Mammalia; order Primates; family Hominidae; genus Homo; species Homo sapiens. The sequence goes on along the minus strand of NC_000002.12, from coordinate 147,954,757 downwards.
TTTCAGCTCTTAGTTTAATTTGAATAATTTTGTTCTTTAATTTGCATAATTCTGGTTACTTAATTTGCATAATTCTGATAGTGGTGATGCTTGTCATTTCATATTTTTATTGACCTTTGAAATTTCCTGGTTTATGTACAGTCATGTGCCACATAACAACCTTTAATTCAATGATAGACCACATATGTGACAGTGGTCCTATTAGATTATAAAACCATATTTTTACTGTACCTTTCCTGTGTTTAGATATGTTTAGATACACAAATACTTCGCATTGTGTTACAGTTGTCTACACTATCACATGCTCATAGGTTCATAGCCTAGGAGCAATAGGCTATGCCATATAGCCTAGGTGTCTAGTAGGCTATACCATCTAGGCTTGGGTAAGTACACTGTTAGGATGCTTGTACAACGATGCAGTCACCTAACAATACATTTCTCAGAACGTATCTCTGTCATTAAGGGACACACGACTGTATTTCCTGTTGGGTCTTTGACCTATTGTGGTAATGTTTATGTTATGCTTATTTATCGGAATTTTTGTGTTTTATTTTTCTCTTCCCTTAAGTTTGGTTTGGACTTTTCTGCTGATCTAAAGTTTTATGTTTTCCACATAGTTAAGTTTATCTAGAAAGTTTTTTCTCTCCTTCAGATTATAAAAACATTCATTGATCCATCTTTTTATTTAATATATATATATATTTGTAATTTATAATTTGTTTGGAATTTATTCTGATTTTACCTGTAAAGTAGGGATCTGACTTTGAATAGACTAATTTTCCCCACTGATGTATAATGCAATATTTTATCAAATACTAAAATTCTATATTAGTACATAAGTCTCTTTCTAGACTTTTGAGTAATCCCTTTGGTTTTGTACCAGTATTAAGTCATTTAGGCTACTGTATTTGTTATTTGTTGAAATAAGTCTTTCTTTTATCAGATATTTGTTTCACTTTTTAACACAAATATAAAGGCGTTAAGCCTAAGGTAAAAGGGATTCTTTTACTAAAGTTGTTTCCATTATTGAAGTGAGAAAAATGTAACCAGAGGGTGATGTGGAACTTTCCCCATGAAAAGCATTGTAGTTGAAATGCTAAAAGTTGTGCTTCAAGGGAGTTTAAGTGGCTTTAGTTGAACTTTATAATCTACAAGTTTGTTTATAAAAAGTATTTCTACAAGAAATGTACCTTGTATTTCTACTAAATAAACAACTCTCTTTTAAAGCATTAGTTTTGTTCATTAATTAGTGACTCCCCTTATATTTTAATCTTAAAGTGTTTTGGTTCTGTGTAGGTATAGAAAACTCTGTCAATTTTATAATCATTAAATAAGAATTATATTTACGTAATTATAAAAATAATAGTCTTTAGTCATTTAAATGATTTTTGACATTTTTCAACAACAAACTCTACTAGAGTCTAGGAACTAGACTGCACTTTTTATTTTTTGGAGATGGAGTTTCACTCTTGTTGCCCAGGCTAGAATACAATGGTGTGATCTCAGCTCACTGCAACCTCTGCCTCCGCAGTTCAAGAGATTCTCCTGCCTCAGCCTCCCAAGTAGCTAATTTTTTTTTTTTTTTTTAATAGCAGAGATGGGGTTTTACCATGTTGGCCAGGCTGGTCTCAAACCCCTGACCTTAGGTGATCCACCTACCTCGGCCTCCCAAAGTGCTGGGATTACAAGCGTGAGTCACCATGCCCGGCCTAGACTGAACTTTTTTTTTTTGAGATGGAGTTTCACTCTCGTTGCCCAGGCTGGAGTGCAGTGGCACGATCTTGGCTCACCACAACCTCTGCCTCCTGGGTTCAAGCAATTCTCCTGCCTCAGCCTCCCGAGTAGCTGGGATTACAGGCATGCGCCACCACACCTGACTAATTTTGTATTTTTAGTAGAGATGGGATTTCTCCATGTTTGTCAGGCTGGTCTCGAACTCCCGACCTCAGGTGATCCACCCACCTCAGCCTCCCAAAGTGCTGGGATTACAGGCATGAGCCACCACGCCCAGCCTAGACTGAACTTCTTGAGAGCAGTCGGGGCTGTGTTTGTCCTTTGAATAATTTTTTTCTGTTGAATGAACGTATATGCATCAGTAAATCCCCTACCCAAAGTAGGCTATCAGAATGTTTACAGAATTGAGTTTTAAAAACTGAAATATAGTAAATGGTTTGGAAATTTAGGAAAGGTGGATATAATTTCTTATTAATGTAATGCTCTTATTTTATCTTAGGTGACCGAACTAGCAGTTGCCCAGTGATCTTCATATTAGATGAATTTGATCTTTTTGCTCATCATAAAAACCAAACACTTCTCTATAATCTTTTTGACATTTCTCAGTCTGCACAGACCCCAATAGCAGTTATTGGTCTTACATGTAGATTGGTAAGTCTTTCTGTTCATTAAAAAAATTGATTATAATATTTTAAAATTCAAGCTTAATTGCTGACACTGCTAGTTTTTTTCACTTATTTAGGTCATTTTAAAAATTTTGTTTCAGCAGTGCCTGGTGTATTTATCCTGCTTTCAACTCAAATTGAGGAAAACAGTTTAGTAGTTACCTTAGCCCATTAATGAATACCTCCCTCCTCCCAGTGAAATTACTGAAGAAAAAAGTATGAAATCAGATTATGCTAATAAATATAATTTCTACATTATCAAGTAATGAGGCGGTTAAATCTCACCAATATTTGAGAAAACTTGGTAATAGTTTTTATTTTAAGATTTTTTTCCATATTTTGAAAAGGCTTGAAATCAACTCTAAGTAATACTATTCCAACTTTCAAAGTACACATCTCCAGAAATGGAAAAGATTCTACCAAGCACTGACAGTAGATAGTGGCTTCTTCATTCCATGGGATATTTTAGAATGATTTTAACTATAGTCTCAATATCACTATCACTTTGCCTTGTGAAGGCTCTGTACATATTGAACCATGTGTACCTTTGGACAGCAGTACAGGCCTTTTTGTGTTTACCTTCTTACACGCATGTAGTATTAACTTACTGAATTCAGATAAAACTGGTATTGAAGAGTGCCTTGGCCCATTTTGTGTTGCTATAACATAATACCTGAGACTTGGTAATTTTTAAAGAAAAGAAGTTTATTTATCTCACAGTTCTGCAGGCTGAAAAATTCAAGCGCATGGCACTGGCTTTGTTGCAAGGGTTTTCATGCTGCATGACATGGTGGAAGGTCAAATGGGGAACCGAAATGTGCAAAAACGAACCAGATAGGAGTTGGAACCTCAATTTATAACAACTCACTGTCTCAAGAACTAATCTATCCCCATGAGAACAAGAACTCACTCCAGTAAGAAGGCATTAAATCTATTTATGAGGGTCCACTCCAGTGACTTCCCACTGTTGCACTGGCAATTAAATTTCAACATGAGATTTGGTGGGGACAAACCATATCCAAACCATAGCAAAGTTGTCTCTTTTCTCATGCTATGACTGCCATGCCTCCATAGCTTTCTTGCAATCCTCTTCCCCCTCCATTCTCGGCAGATGTGTCAGGCACATTTACATGTTCACATCTCCTTTCCTACAACCCTTTTTCTTTTTCAGAAAAGTGAAACTTTTTTCTAATTCATATTTCAACAGTCCTCCTTCCAGTGCTGTTTCTCTATAGAGTGACTGTCATTTGCCCCTCCTTTCCTGTGCTCTAGAGCTTATGATACATGGCTTTAGTATAAACATCCCTCATACATCACTGGCTGGTGCTCCACATATCTTTATTCCTCCTTGCCAAAAGCAGCAGGCGATGACAAGGATCAAAGAAGCATCCTCCTTCTTGCCAAAAAAAAAAAAATCTTCCTTTGGGTGGAAGTGGCTGTGGTGAGTGTTGTTGACCCAATAACGGACCAAATAAAATGCCAGTAACTTCTTAGCAGTGTTATCAGATGTTCTTTTTTATTGTATATATATAATTCTCCAACTGTGTAGTTCTTTCAAGTGTAATTTTTTTTCTTTTTCTTTTTTTTTTTTTTTGAGATGGAGTCTTGCTCTGTCGCCCAGGCTGGAGTACAATGGCATAATCTCGGCTCACTGCAACCTCCACCTTCGGGGTTCAAGCAATTCTCCTGCCTTAGCCTCCCGAGTAGCTGGGATTACAGCCACACACCGCCATGCCTGGCTAATTTTTGTATGTTTAGTAGAGATGGGGTTTCACCATGTTGCCCAGGCTGCTCTCGAACTCCTGACCTCGTGATCTACCCCCCTTGGCCTCCCAAAGTGCTGGGATTACAGGCGTGAGCCACTGCGCCTGGCCTCAAGTATAATTTTATCTGTGTATCCACGTTTATAGGGAGAGAACAAAAGTATAGAGGGAGTAGTGACTTTGCCAGCAAGCATCTTCTTCCCCATTGGGAGTAATTCCATTTTTGTTTTTTGGTTTTGTTTTGTTTTTACTAGTTCCTGTATGCCCACATTGCCAACTTCTGTCATTACTGCCTACTACAAAGACAGTATTTACTTCCATCTCTTTTCATTCCCAAATTTAGGGTCTGAATTGTTGCTTGTATAGATTATTACTTCCACTGTCTACCTATATGGGTGACCTAGAACTCTTTCTTAATAGAAAATAAATGTACAATATCTGAATCTCTGAATATAACCTTTCTTGTCTTTTAGTTCTCATGCTGGCACTATACTTTTCTTTGACCTCATAAAAACATTCAAAATTTTTTATTCACCCTCCCACCTCCTACCTCAGGCTATTAGTCTTTCCTGTCCACCTTCCCAAACTAACCATGATCCCATTTTGATCACTTGAATTCTTTCCTCTATATCATGATTTCTTCACGTAGGTATTATGAGAGTCATCTGGCTAGATGTGGAGATGTATATTTCTGGGCTTAAACTACTCCCCTTTTAAAAATCTTTATAACATTTCAACAATATACATAGGAAAGAATAAATAATGAGCCCTGAATTCCCTTCTCCACTCATTGCCAAGATTCAATTACTACAGACTAATTTTATTTATCCTCAACATCTCCTTTCATTCCTGTATTATTTTGAGGCAAAAACTAGGTATTATATCATTTTATCAGTAAGTATTTTAGAATGTATTTTTAGGAGATAAGAGCTCTTTAAAAATATATTTCCCTAATATAATTGTTATATTAGCTGTAATTCCTTAAAGTCATCAAATATCATGTCACTGTTTTTAAAACAGCTTTATTGAGATGTAATTTATACCATACAACTCACTCATTTAAATTATACAATTAACAGGGTTTTTGTTTATTCATAGAGTTGTGCATTTATCACCACAGTTTAAGAGCCACGTACCTTTTAGTGATCACCCCAAATCCCCTGTTCCCTCCCCAGCCCTATGCAACCACTAATCTGCTAATCCACTTTCTGACTGTTTAGTAATTTTTGAATCATACAACGTATAGTTTTGTGTGACTGGCTTCTTTAACATGTTTTCAGAGTTGATCTGTGTTACAGCATATATCAGCCCTTTATTCCTTTTTATTACCAAATAATATTCTGTTGTGTAGATATACCACACTTTGTTTATCCATTCATCAGTTGATGGACATTTGGGTTGTTTATATTTCTTAAGCTATTAAAAATAATACTGCTGCAAACATTCACATACACTTTTTTTGTGGTTATCTGGTTTCATTTGTCTTGGTTGTATACCTTGGAGTGTAACTTAAGTAATAAATATATATTATACTATACTGTATATATATAGATGTATATATACATATATAATATAAATTATATATATTATATATAATATGCTGTGTACTATAATATATTTTGAAAAATTGCTCAAGTTCATTATTAAAAAGAGATTTAGGAATGACAGTTCCTGCAATATATGTGACTTAGGAAGACAGCTTACCTATTGTGCTTTTGATGTCTTGGATAGTTTGAATGCCTATCAGTTTTGTGGAAGTATTTTCTTCATTTAAGAACACTTCGTATGTCCTTACAAGCAGTACATATTAGTTATCCTTTGGTTTTTAGTGTTCTTTGACAGTAAATTTGATTCCTGATTTCTTTTTAAGGAAAAATAGCACAAATACAAATAGAGTCTAAAAGCATTACTATAAAAAAAAAAAAGCCGGAAGATAACTTACGAATGCCATGTTGCATTTCTGCCACTTTCCTCTCCTAAAGTTGGTTCCTGCTGCCTATCATGCTATTAATTTTTTAATCTCAGTTCTTCATAGAATGTACAGAATTCCTTATTGACACTCTTGGTGTTATTGTGACATATAGCTATTCAATATTGTCAGTTTTTTTAAACAGTCATGTTGGGTCTTGGAATGTTACAGATTAGCTGAGAGTAACATGGTGGGAAAAAGGCATGACATCACCAAGCCAGCAAATGCCTGGAGGTGGATTATTTAGTTTGCATAAAATGTTTTAAATGTTTAATTATGTATTGTAGACTAAACATTACTAATTATAGGTGATAGTTTACTTATACCTCTAACATTGGTACAGTGTTTTTGTTTTTTTAAAAACATTCATCTTCCTTATAGAGATTTCTGTTTGTTTTTAAGGATATTTTGGAACTCTTAGAAAAAAGAGTGAAGTCAAGATTTTCTCACCGGCAGATACACTTAATGAATTCATTTGGTTTTCCACAGTATGTTAAAATATTTAAAGAACAGTTATCTCTACCTGCAGAGTTTCCAGACAAGGTTTTTGCTGAGAAGTGGAATGAAAATGTTCAGGTATCTTAAAAGGCAATAAAGCTAAATGTTCCTTGCTATATGATTTAAAGCAATTAAAACACAAATTTTAGAAATTAGTAAATTAACACAAAGTTTCTAATATTGCTGAAGGATAATGCTGCAGTAATACAAATTATATACTTTTTAAAAATTTTCTTCTTAGACAGTTGAAATGTCATTTCTCCTAAATTCTATCTCAAAAGAACATCACAGTTAAGCTTTAGGATTTATGTTATTAGTTTGAAGTAAACTTTAATGAGGCTTTAGTTTTATCTGTATGTGGTTTATATTTTAGATAATTTTATTTTATATATTTTACATATTTAGCAATAATAATAAATAGTAAATAATGATAAATAAATGTTAATGACTCATACCTATTATGTGTGGATATTTTTTTTCTTCCAGTTTTCATTAGCAACTTCAGCTTTTATTTTGTTGGGCCTTAAGAGGCAGTACAGACTGTGGCACCTCCAGTTATATTATCTAATAGGTGATCACATCTCACAGTCCCTGGAGACTTGAGAGTCTTAGATACAAAGGCAGGTTCATATGTTGTTTTAAAGATTTGCCACACCTTTGAGACTATAAATTTACCTGTGCTTAAAATATTCTCAACACACTAGCATTTTAATCTTACGCTGTCAAAAAGTTTCAGTTGGCAAAGAGAAAGGAGGAAGTATGCATATGTGTGTGTATTTAATAATATAATTGAAAAACATCATTAATGAATAAGTCCCTTATGCTAGAATCTCAAAAAATATTGGCCTCGTGAGAGTGGAAAATAATATAGAGTCCCTGGCTCTGAAGGAATTGGGAAAAACTGATTTATAATGTTAAAATACCGGTAAGGATAATTAGATCTTTGAATAGAATTACACAGTCTATATTCACTGACTCTATAAAAAGGATCATTTTATTTTAAAGCAATAGTGGTAGATTGTATTTTTACCGTGAATTTTTAAATACTAATACTAAATTGGAAGCGTTTTGCATTTAGTTTGTTCTTTAAATGATTATTGTTTGATTATAAAATATAGTCTGCTCATGTAAGCAGTATTTTGACACATTTCATTTTTTTAAAATATCATAAAAGTTTATTGAACAAAATGTAATTAGTGCAAAAGAATACATGATAAACAGTGGAAGTTTCCCTTAAGACTATATCAATTCTCCTTTCTTCTACTATGGAATAATTACTTGGTCTACAACATTGCAGAGTTTATATACATGCTAAATATGTTGTTTTTACATAAAGGACTCAAAGCCTACATATTTTTATATTACTTTTTTCCCATTGTTATGATTAATAATTCCCTGTTCTTTTTCTTAATACAACTATACATAATTGTATGTAAAAATAGCTGACATTATCTTTAAAATTCAGATATTATGCCTTGATATAATTAGGTATGGATCCTCCCTTCCACTCAATCTTTCCTGAGACTCGGGTATTTCAATTACCTGACCAAGTGTCTTTGATACTATTTCTAATTATAGGATTCCATCTATAGGAGCACCTTCTTTGTAGTTGGTACTCCCACATTGTCCCCTTTTACTGGGGTCTGGTGTGAACCAGACCTCTGGATCTTCAGCTTTTAGATCTACTTTTCAGTGCCTCACAGACTTTCATCTTCTACAACTCCTGAACTGATTGTCTTATTCCACCAGTATGTTTTTCTGGCTGTTTTAGAGATTCAAATGTAGTCTTTCATAGTATTTAAATGTCTGTACTTTCCATGGGCTTTTTTTTTTCCATACCTGCTCACACTTAATCTTCTTAAGGTAACTACATGGTCTAGGTTGCACTGTGCCATTTTTCATCCACTTTCCTTCCCAACTGTGTTGCATTCTGAGCATCTCAAATTGAGTCTATAAATAAAGAGGATGCTGGGAGTTACTGGTGAAGAAGTATAACTGCGTGACTTAGAAAATGATAACCATGTGTTAGTAGCATAACTAATCTACTTTCTGGACTTTTGTTGCAGACCTTAAATCCCCTGCATGTGAGCACTGTCTTGTCATCATTTTGATAGTCTTAATAGTCAGTTTCATTAAGTAGAACCAGCATCACTGGTGTTTGTGTCTCTGAGTTCTAATATTTTCTTCCCCTATCCTGATCATCTTGTGCCTGTCTTTGGTATGTGAATAAAATGAGCTTCACTTGAAAAATCTGTCAGCACCATGGTCAGAGTCCCTGCCTTGTGGAGTAGGGTGGTAGCTGCATTAAGGGAGCTATTCTTTCTCTTAGTGCCGATTATCCAGGAAGCTATTTTGAATGGCAGGATTAAGCCAATAGCAGTGATACAGATAACAGGTCACACATGGAATCTCATCCAAGAAATATCTTCAGGATAAGATTGAACCTTGATATCCTGCCTAATTTGAAGGTTTGTTTTAGCCCTACTTCAAATGAGTCAAATAAGCAAAGTAGACTCTATCTTAGCATGGCAGTATAAGAGGGATCCTTTGAAAAGAACATTTAAAAGAATCATACCTTATTCTCCTCAAATGAAATCTCCCAAAGTACTGTAGCTTATGTGGTTGTTGATAATAGCCTTATCCTCAAATAGAGTATAGTGTTTGAATCAAGATGGAATTAAAAATATAATGAACGAGGTTAGACAATTTTTTTTGTTTAAATGGCTCATGTAGATAAGGTAGGCATTTTAAAAAGCAGAATAAGTAATTATAGAAGCAAGAAGGCGATAGCTTTTAGAAAGAGGGGGAATTGGAGTCAAACCACTAAAAAATAAAGAGATAAAGTAGGAAGGTGGAGTATAGAAGATTAACCTTTGAAGCATCATGTCAAAGAGAGGCAAATGCAGGTTTTAAAAATAATTGATTCTTGCAGAGAAAATTTCTTCAATTTTGTCCCAGGTGATTTTCTTTAGTTTTCCTAAGTGCTCCGATTTTACCACATCAACTTTTACAACTTACAGATTACAGAAACCAAGACTATAGTTTGCCTGTGATATTTAGCCACATATCTTCCATATTGCAATTTTAAAACTGGAAAAGCTAAACAAATTTTTTTTTAATTTCCAAAAGGTATTACTTTGTTTTTTTTATGTTCACCCTGTGTACTTCCAAGGATATTCTACCGTGTTTGTGATAGAAAAAGATATAGTAACCAGAAGTCCTTTAAAATACAAAGAGAAGACTAGAAACAATAGCAAGGGAGTGGGAACTATAATTAAGATAATATATTTCCTGAGAGTATAAAATTTTATTCCAGTAGACTAGAACTTACTTCTGAATCTGGTCTTCTTAGAGTGGACAAAGTAAAGACATATAATTACAGCTCTAGAAAATACAGAAATGCTTAGTTTTCTGGGCTTTTTTTTTTTTTTAAAAGAATCCTTATTCCATGCAGATGATTTTTGAAAAATTATGACAATCTTTTCCAGGCCTTTCTTGGCTCTGCTACTTCTGAATTTACTCTTTTTTCATCTAATCTTTTCTTCAATGCCAGTGTTCCTCACCTTCCATTCAACCCTAATTACTGCAGTCACTTGCCTCTTTAGATGGTACTTTCTCAAAGGGCTGTGGTGATCTTTGAATTTCTAAAGCCATTAGCCTCTTCTCAAATATATCTTTTTACAAAGTAGTTTATATTGTTGAACCTCACTTCTCTCTTAAAACTTTGTTCCCTTGTTTTCTAGATCTCTACTCTGTCTTAGATTCTCTTCCAGTCTTTGGTATCTTTCTTAATTTCTTAGTTTTTCTCTTTTCCCACCTACTACTTAAATATTAATAATCCAAGATTCATTTTTTGACCACATTTCACTTTTCACAGGCCATTTTGTTTCCCATAGATCATGTTTGATTTTTATCTTCTACCTTTCAAACCCTTCCTTCTCTTCTGCTACCAGTTAATTCTCTACCAGATGTACTCCTATAAACGTCTTAATTCTTTTTTCTTCATAACACTCAGATAATTCCGACCCACTTTACCTCTTGTCTGGACAGCTACCTCCAGTTAGGTTTTTCTGCCTTTTCTTTTTGTACATTCACTTTGCCAGTAATTGAAACTCCAGTACGTGACTACTCATTTTCTGCCAATGTGATAATTTTCCTGCTACTCATGCTGTTCCCTGTAACTGGAATGTTCTTCCTTCTTTTTTAAATCTCTTGTCTCATCCAGTTTAAGCATTCTTTGTAATACTTTACCTTGTATCCCTAGGTACAGTAACTCATGCACTTCTGTTTTTGTGCTGCATTTTGTTCATTTCACTAGTATGACTGTGTAGTAGTTTCCCTTATTCAAGTACGAATTTGGGGTTAGCCAGGATTGTTTTATCATTGTGTTTATTGAATTAACGTAAAGAACAGGATAAGAAAATCAGTAGACTGGAAACTTTATTTTGGTTTTAGTGTTCTACAAATAAGACCAACATCTATTTAATAATGAATTAATATTAGATAGAGTTACTAAGGTACACCAACCAGTAAGGCACAGGATTATATTTAGGTTTTAAACTACATCTTTCCTCAATTTTGGCTTTTTTTTTTTTTTTCCTTTTAGTATCTCTCAGAAGATAGAAGTGTGCAAGAAGTACTACAGAAGCATTTCAATATCAGCAAAAACCTGCGGTCATTACACATGCTATTGGTTTGTATTAGTTTTGTTTTATTGCTTGTTGCTTTGTTTTTGTTTTTAATAGTGACGGGGTCTCACTTTGTTGCTCAGACTGGTTGCGAACTCCTGGCCTTAAGCCATCCTCCCACCTCTGCCTCCCTAAGTGCTGACATTACAAGCATCAACCACTGTGCCCAGCCTACTTTTATCATTTTCTATCTTTCATTAGATAATTAAGTTTTTATGGGAATTGATTAAACCTGTAGGTAAATTTTGGGAGAATCGACATGCATTGGAACACTACATCGAGTGTTCCAATCTCTGAATAGGGTTCATATCTCCTTTTATTTGATTTCTTGTTTGATTACTTTCATCAGCATTTTATAGCTCTTACTACACAGATGATGTACTTATTTAATGTGTATACCAATATTTAATTTGTTAGAACAATTGTAAATGGGTTTTGAAATTTTGGTTTCCCACATATTCATTACATTTCCCACATATTCATTACATATAGAATATGTGATTGATTATATATATACACATTAATATATAGAAATGTGATTGACTTATAGTCTATGCTGAACTCACTTATTCTAAGAGGTTTTTTAATAGATTCCTTGGGACTTTTGATGTAGACCATTACATTTTTCACAAATAGTGACGGTTTTTTTTTTCTTTCCAATCTGTATGCCTTTTATTTCTTTTCTTGCTTTTTTGCAATGGCTAGAATTTCCAGTGTTATGTTGAATTAGAGCAGTGAGAGTGGACATCCTTTCTTGTTCCCAGTCTTAGGAAGAAAGGATTCAAACTTTTACCATTAAGTATAATGTTAGCTGTAGGTTTTTTATACATGTTCATTATCAGGTTGAGGTAATCCTCATCTGTTTGTAACTTGCTGAGAGTTTCTTATAAATGGGTGTTGGATTTTGTCAAATGCTTATTCTCGATCGTTTCGCATGACCATGTTTCTCTTTAACCTGTTGATATATTTGATTATGTTATTTTTTGAGTGTTGAACCAGCCTTATATACCTGGAATAAATCCTACCTGGTTATGATGTTTTGCCAAGTAATTATATCTTAAGCTTACATAATACCAATATCAAACAAGAAGTACTTAATTGTTCTGAAAATTAACTTTCTTCACTAAGAGTATTTGGTTTTAGTCTAATATTTCTAGAAAATTATGGCAAATACCTTTGAAAGACAAGATAGTTTTGGTTTCATAGAAAGGTCATTTTTAATAATAATAGAATAATAATGACAGTAGCTACCATTTATGGACTGGCATATGAGCCAAGTACTGTTGATGCTAGTAGTACCTATATTATGTCTGGCCATTGGAATAATCTTATTTTTTATTCTTACCCCTAAAGAAATTGAGGCTCCTTAAAGCTAAGTAACTTGCCGAAGGTCACACTACTAGTAGATAACAAAGCCAGGACTTAATCCAAAGCTCTCTGGCTTCAAGTTTGTGTCCTACTTGGCTGTATGGTTCACCCATGTTTATATACAAGTTTTCTTTCCTCATTGCTGCTTCTGCTGAGGAATTTAAGTCTTTTTATCCCTATTTACTTTTCTTCTATTGTCAAAAGCATACTGCCATTTTCAGCATATCATGAAGGAATTTGGGGACTAGTAATTTTTAGAGGAGGGGTGTGTGTGTGTATGTGTGTATGTATATATATATACACACACATCTCCATCTGGGAAAATATCTCTGCCTCAGTATTGTCAATATTAACGGCCATTGTTCTGCCATTTTTCTATTACATTTTTAATTCATGGTAATGAATTAAATAATGGCTTGTTTTTTGTCATATGGGATTCTACTTTGAGGGCTGCTTACTCATATTCTTAGCTCATCCCATTATTTGTTGTCATTGTCTTACTGTGGAAGCTCATTATAGATTACAGATTTTCAGCCTCTCCAGTAACCAGAGAAATACTACAATTAAACTTTTTTTTTCTTGCCAATCTAGTGGGTGTTAAAGATTATGCTTGATGGTATCATGACTGTGACTATTAATATTTATTGCTGCTGCCAATGTAAATATGTGTAAGTGCTTTGGAGAGCAATTTATTTAGCAAATTAGGTAACTAGAGAAACATACTAATTAGAGAAAGTCTAGTTACCTAATGCACAGGAAGACATGTCCAAGGTTGTTTATTGCAGTCTTGTTTATAATTGGGAAAAAAAAAGAAATGAAAGATGTCTGTCAATAGGAAATTAGGAAATGAATAATCGTGGATATATACAAAGAAATATAATGAAAAAATGAATAAACCAGAATTGATACTGCCTCAACATGGGTAAAACCTCACAGTGAAGAGAGTTGTGAAGATACAATATATTTATATAAAAGTTGAAAATTACTCTGTTGTATAATACATGTATATGTAGTAGAAGTATTAGGTTGGTGCAAAAGTTACCATTACTTTCAGTGCCCAAAATGGCAATTACTTTTGCACCAACCTAATAGTATAGACATACTTGGTTGTTTTATGTGGGGAAGAGTAGAGTCCAATCCGGAGGAGATGGGCTTCAACTCTAAAATCATATTTCTTAAGCAGGTAAAGTAGTCATAGATATTTATTATTCTCTGTTGCCTTTGTATATGTTAAAAAAAATTTATGCCTTTGTGTCCTCATAGCTTAGCTCCCACATATCATATCAGTGAGAACATACGATGTTTGGTTTTCCATTCCTGAGTTACTTCACTTAGAATAATAGTCTCCAGTCTCATCCAGGTCACTGCAAATGCTGTTAGTTCATTCCTTTTTATGACTGTGTAGTATCCATAGTATATATATACCACATATATATATATATCCATATATCCATAGTATATATATACCACAGTTTCTTTATCCATATCCATAGTATATATATACCACAGTTTCTTTATCCACTCGTTGATTGATGGGCATTTGGGTTGGTTCTACGATTTTGCAATTGTGAGTTTTGCTGCTATAAACATGCACATGCAAGCATCTTTTTCAAATAATGACTTCTTTCTTTTTCAAATAATAACTTCTTTTCCTCTGGGTAGATGCCCTGTAGTGGGATGGCTGTATCAAATGGTAGTTCTACTTTTAGTTCTTTAAGGAATCTCCACATTGTTTTCCAGTGGGGCGAGGGATAAAAGACTACAAATATGATGCAGTGTATACTGCTCAAGTGATGCATTCACCAAAGTCTCACAAATCACCACTAAAGAACTTACTCATGTAACCAAATACCACCCATACCACAATAACTTATGGAAAAATGAAGTTAAAAAATAAAAATTAAAAAATTAATAACTAAAGGAAAAAGGAAAGGAGAGAGAAAGGGAGGGAGCACTGGCAATCTAGGTCCCAACCAGTAGGAGAATGAAGGACAAGGATTGCCAAACTCTCTGCCCAGCTAATCAGTTGCGCCCTTGTTAAGGTGAAGGAGAGTTTCTTGGATAATTATATCCCAAATATTGCATGGCACATACTACTAAGAAACTATTTATTGTTTATTTGAAATTGAAATTTAACCAGAGGTCATGCATTTTTATCTGCTAAATCTTGTAACCCTAAATGACCAAATTTAACTTTCATGAAAAATACAAATAAAGAAGGAAGGAAGGAAATCTTCAAATACTTGAGTAGCAACTCTGGTCCAGGACCTCTGTTCATTTTTGAACAGAGAAGCAGCACAAGAGAAGGAGACTGTGCTTTCAAGGAGAGTTATTCCTGAGTATAAATGTGCTATTTTCTTTTCTTTTTTGTACAATTGAACATAAAACAGCTAACTTCTGTCTAAATTAATACTAACCTGGCTGGATGATTGGGTGGTGAAAAAGTTAACAAGTAAGGCGTAGATCTGCCTTTTGGGCTTGTGTTTGGGGCTTTTATTAGTAAGTATTCTTAATTATTTTCAGTTTCTTCTCCTTGACCTACTCCTCTTTAAACATTGTTCTTCCAAGCAGTAAGTAAACAAGTTATGCAACTGGGATGGGTTAGAGAGAGCAGCAGGAACTTTTTTTATGCTTTACATCTGCAGTTATGTGACACACAAATTGAAATACTGTATTTTAATACAACTGAATTTGAGAATACCTTCCTAAGCATTAATATTTACTCTCCCTTAAGAATTAACTATACAAATTCAGAAGTTTTGCACAGTATCTCCAAAATGCCCATGTAAATACGTAATTGTTTTTCTGATCTGTCTTTCCCTAGATGCTTGCTTTAAATCGAGTAACAGCATCGCACCCATTTATGACTGCCGTAGATCTAATGGAAGCAAGCCAACTGTGTAGCATGGACTCGAAAGCAAATATTGTACATGGTGAGAACCCAGCCTTATTTTTTAAATTGTGGTTTTTAAAACTTTGAATTTAGATAATGGAATGTTTTTAAAATTACAATTAACGTGGGCATAATGCTTTATAAAATACTTTCGTATCCATATAGCCTTTAACTTAGTCCTTTTAAAGGTACTATCACTCCCATTTAAAGTGAAAAAAAAATTTGACGCTCTGCCTCTTTTGCCACATTGGAAATCCAGGTAAGACTGTGTTGCTGATGTTATCATTGTATCAAGAACTACTGAAGAGCATTCTCTGGGTTTCAGTCATTTTGGGTTTGTTATTTCCTTTTCCAAATGTAATGAACCTTTTCCTCTCCGGGGAAAAAAGGAATACACAGATTTGGATATAATTTCCAGGAGTTTAGGAAGTCTCTAGATAAATCCTACGCAAAGGCCCTGTGTGATTTAAAGTCACATAACAATTGAAGTTTATTTTGTTTACTGTGGGCCATATGGTGAGTGCCTGATAATATTTCGCCAATCTTTGTGACATTTCTAAAAGTTTAAAAATATCCTTATTTTGCAGATAGGAAAAAAACTAAGCTCAGGGAGGTTAAGTAACTTAAATTTATATAGATAATTGAAACACATTGAAATCTAGAAGAATCTTGACCTTCTTCACCCCTCAGAACCATAGATCTTTCACTATATTGTATTCTTTGGAGAACAGTTATTTCAGTCTTATATGTCATTAAACTGATAGTTTTTTTTCCCTTTTACTGTAGGTCTATCAGTCTTGGAAATCTGTCTTATAATAGCAATGAAACATTTAAATGACATCTATGAGGAAGAGCCATTTAATTTTCAAATGGTCTATAATGGTGAGATGAGACTTAAGTAGCTTTTTTCTGACTCTTCCCCACTGCTTATTTGAAGGTATAATGTTGTCATTGCTTTCTACTCAGAGTTTCAGAAGTTTGTTCAAAGGAAAGCACATTCCGTTTATAATTTTGAAAAACCTGTTGTCATGAAGGTAAGATTTAGTTTGCTGTCATTTTTCTACAGACAAGTATATTTTTTACATCCAATTTGATTATGTATTAAAATTGCACTTTCATTTTTAAACATTAAGTATTATAGAGATTTTTTTCAAAACAAGAAAATTATCTAAAAATGAAATATTTTGGAAAAATCTGAGGAAGTGACCGGTTGTTTTAGTTTGTGGAGGTATACTGCCCTCTGCTGTCTCTTCAGAGCACTTGCATCCCGAAAACAACTATTCAGTATAGTGTGTGATATAACCTTTCCCTTTCCAACCCAAGGATTGGCTTTTATAATCTCAGCAGTAAAAGGAGAAAACAATGAAAATTAGAGCCATTAAGAAACTTAAAAGACAAAATCTTATTGGCCTGTGAGGGCATACAGAGAAAGTGTTATTTGGGGGCTGAGTCATGAGTTTTACAACTTCAGGACTTCATGTAGATTACCATTGTCCACTACAAAGATAATGTGAGCCATGTAATGTAGTTTTAAATTTTCTAGTACCTGTAAGAAAAATAAAAAGGTTTAATTTTAATTATATATTTAATGCAACATATCAAAAATGTGTCATTCTATAATCATTATAGAAGAACAGTAAGGTATTTTACATTCTTTTGAATTAAGTCTTTAACATTTGGTGTACATTATATTTAAGCACATCTCAATGGCCTAAATGTTTACTGGAAATTCTTGCTGTTTAGATTCCATAAAATGTATAGCTGAGAAAGTAAATTTACATTTTGAAATTGTTCTAAACATGCTCAGAATTTTCTAATAGAACTAAATATCCATTTTTAAGTTTAAAAAAAAATTGAGTCACACATTGAAGTGCTCAGTAGCCTAGCGTGGACAGTGCAGCTCTTGAAGATTTTAAGGAAAGAAACTTTTAAAACAGTGGATTCCCCAAGTCCATTGGCATCCCTTATAGGCCCTAGTAACCAGAATTTCATTTCTTGTAGCAACAAAAATGAGTACAGAGCATTGCCATTTCTTCAAAGAAACAGGAAAAGTATTTTACAATACTGGAGGGTTTTTTTCCCCTAATAGTCTTATTTTGTGAGAGCTGTGAAAATGGAAAGGTTACCCAAGTATTTAAATTTTTTTTTTTTTTTTTTTTTTGAGATGGAGTCTCCTGTCGCCTACGCTGGAGTACAGTGGCGGGCGCAATCTTGGCTCACTGCAACCTCTGCCTCCCAAGTTAAGCGATTCTCCTGCCTCAGCCTCCTGAATAGCTGGGATTACAGGCGTGCACCACTATGCCCATCTAATTTTTGTATTCTTAGTAGAGACAGTGTTTCACCATGTTGGTCAGGCTGGTCTCAAACTCCTGACCTCATGATCCGCCCACCTCGGCCTCCCAAAGTGCTGGGATTACAGGCGTGAGCCACTGCGCCCAGCCTGCATTTAAATTCTCAATAATTTGTAGCTGCTCATTTCTGAATTTTCAATTATGAAGTATTTTGCTATTTAGAAATGTTTTAAATCTGCACAGTTCTATTCAGCTCTTAACACCTGCAGCCTCCAGTATTTTCTCATGTTCAGATATGAAGGTATCTGAGCTGTTTCTCTATCAGAAGAATTTATGTGATACATAGAGAATATGTTCCAGTGATGTTTTTTACAGTGAGTTGTAAGAATATAATAGAATCCTCAGGAATCTATTTCAGTGTATCATTATTTAATGGTTAGTATATCATGATTTAATGGTTTTTTTTTTCATAACCTAATAACGTACCTAACACAACACTCAAGGTTAGAAAAGATATAATAGGTGAATATTAAGGATAAGAGGAAGTAGACAAGAAAGAGCCCTATTAAGATGGGGAAGATGGAAGAAGGTTGTGACAGTCTCAGTCAGACTTCTTAGAGGAAACAGGAGCCTGTCCCTTCTCCTCCATGTCCATACTAGCCTGCTGAATCCTTTACTTACAGGATCAGCTGAATATGTCTAGTTGACTCAAGGGTCTTTTTCTGCCTCCCTCTGTTACAGCTGTGTTACCTTTTTACATAGCAAAGCAAAAATAGAGACAGACAAAATATAAATGCAAATCTGAGTAGCCTAGGGAATTGATCAGAAAGTCTTATCTGATTCTTAGGTTTTTACAGAGAACTGGAAACTATTTATTAAAGTACTAGGAGGAGCTATGATAGAGAATGAGGCTAGGAAGAAAACCATATTGTATATATTGAATTAAAGTTTGCCGTGTTTACATTCAACAATATATGGACAAGTAAGTGTGCACTGACACTGTTTTACCTGATAATATGAGTTTTCATGGGGTTGTGAGAGTTTTTTTAATCCTATTGATTGTTGTTACATTTTGCTTCCCAGTACTCTGTTCTGCAGCTGACCAAAATGCTAACTGTTCTCTGGGAGAGAACAGGAGAGTTGTCACTCTCCTCTCCTATTCAACCTAAACTATTTCTTTCATCTTTCAGGCTTTTGAACACTTGCAGCAATTAGAATTAATAAAGCCCATGGAAAGAACTTCAGGAAATTCACAGAGAGAGTACCAGCTGATGAAACTGCTTTTGGATAATACTCAAATTATGAATGCTCTGCAGAAATATCCCAACTGTCCTACAGATGTGAGGCAGTGGGCAACATCCTCACTAAGCTGGTTATGAATATAACCAGTGACTTCAACTTTGGCATTTCATTCATACTTCTGTAGAGAACGGAAAACTATTGTCCATTAACATGATATGCTAAACATTCTATAAACATTCTTGTATTTATGTGAGACTTGCCCATCTACTGTCTTGGCTGTGTCTTGCCTTTTAATCATGAACAGTTACATGATTTATAATTTCACTGATTGAGATTACTTTGTAAGTAGCTGTTCAGAAGAATAAAATATGACTGTTTTAGGGACTAGACCATGTGCTTTTTTAACACTTATATATATAATGGTCTATTTGAAGAGCTCACTTCAACCTAACAGCTAGATGTCTTTACAAACCTTAAACCAAAGGAGTAAAAAAAACAATGGTAAGCACTGAAGTATAATAAGTAACCTTTGGTACAGCAGGTTTGCTGCAGTGTTTTTTTCTGTCCACATGCAAATTTTGGATTCTATCCCAGACCCAGGTTTTCTAGTTCAGAAGACTAACCAGCTTAGTCAGAAGATGGTTCCATGGAAGAAAAAGGCCAAGGAGTTTGAAGATTTTTCTTCTAGACATCTCAAAATGTGGTACTCATACCATCCACATCAGAATCCCTTGTAGGATTTTCTAAAATTACAGATTGTTGAGCCTACCATAGGTCAAAAGGACTGGAATTTTCCTTCTTAACAAGTATAGTCATGGCACCACGTAACATTTTGGTCAATGACATTGTATAAAGGGTGGTCTCATAAGATTATACCATATTTTTACTGTACCTTTTCTATGTCTAAATATACAAATGTTTTACCATTGTGTTACAGTTGCCTACAGTATGATTACAGTAACATTCTGTACAGTGCTATAGCTGAAGAGTAATAGGCTAGGCTATCTGTATAGCCTAAGTGTGTAACAGGCTATATACATATCATCAGGGTCTGTGTAAGTATACTCTGTGATGTTCATACAGTGATGAAATCACCCAAAGACACATTTCTCAGAACGTAGCCCCATCATGAAGTGACGTGACTACCAGAGATTTCTGGAAAAGCACTCCCAAAAGTAATGAGATGTGTATGGCAATGTTAACTGAACCTGTTTGTATTAAAAAGTAAATCCCTATGAGGAATGTGGAAATGTCCGTCAAAGCATTGTCTTTTAAGTAAGTTCCAAGATCCATGAATTAACAGAGGCATATATTTAAAATGAAATTTAATGAGCACTTAGTGACTTCATTTGTTCAAGAATATTTGATTTCCTATTGTGTGCATGGGAGGTTTACAAAAGACAGACTGTCCCTATGCTTGTGCAGCTTACAATCTATTTAACTATTAGAGGCCCTGTGAGATGTAGGCAGTTATTTACAGATGAGAAAACTAACACAGCAGTGGCAATGCTGGGAATGGCCAACAGGCTTGGAATTCAACTCAGTTTAGCACCAAAGCCAGTGCTATTAAGACCTGAAGTTCAACAGTGGATTCCTTACCAAATAGTTTTTAAAGTATGCTCTAAGGAACAATGTTTTAATGAAATCTTGGATACAAAGTGGAATAAAAGGTTTCTGAGCATAAAGTAGCTCTTCAGTAGTTACAACCTATTCTTTTGCATACATAGCCTTTCCTTCCCTGCAAAAAGTTAAGCCTGCTAAGTATTCAGATCCCTGTCATTTACTTCTCAGCAGTCTCATTCAAGCTAAGGCTTGCATACTCAATCTGTGCCGTAGTCTACACATTTTTAGGGGATATTTCACCAAAATACTTGACATGGTAACATCACTATTATATACTAGAAGCAAGAATTTTACACTTATGCTCTAAGTGATCCTTTTAAAAATTTTCTGAACTATTTGAGGAAAGTATTATTTGTCTTAAAGGGTAACAGCCTCATGAAATGACTTGAGGATTCCAATTTCTTATTAGCTTAAGATGTCACTTAAAAGCTGACAGCCCTCATCTGTCTCATTGGCTACATAAGAGCTGCAGAAGATCCATCAATAACCAAGTATAAAGAAAGATTTTAAGACTAAGTACCAATTGAGGTAAACATGAAACCGTTATAAAGCAAATTAAAAAAAAATACATTAGGAAAAGTTACACAAATGAAGTGTACGCCTATTATATTCCCAAGGCATTTTTGTGGGGAGGAACAGTGCTGCTTGTTGGCCTTTCCATATTCCCTCATACAAAAATGCTAAAATCTATTCGCAAGAGTTTTGAGCTAACTTCGTCTCTTAAATTGCTTTAATTGTCATCAATAAAAACAAATATGAAAAACCCTAGTTTAAAAAGCGGTTCAAGAATAATGTAAACTTATACATATAGCTTATTTTCTTCATTTACTAGAGGAGGAAAAATAGAACCAAAAAATGCATGAACTCCTGCTTTTCAATCTGATTACCTCAAACTGAAAAGCAGGTGAAAGGAGGAATATTTCAGTGTGTTTTTACATCTGAATCCAAGGGATCCAAGTGGCCCAGCAGAAACGGAATTCTTGTTAAAATGACTGATTCTCGTGCATGTGAAAGGCTCTGGGGAATGAATACCTGTTTGGTCCAAACTTACTGTATCATAATGCTGTATATGTTGAAAACGTAATACCTGTTAATGTCCTAATGAATCACGTTTTGCAGAAAACACCGTAAGAAACACTTCAGTCTTTCTGTAGTTTCCATGCATATTTCACCATGGTTCGCACTCTGATCCTCATCTGGTTTAGAAAGCAATTCAGTTTCTTTCAAACCACCATAACCTAAGTGCTGCCCCATCCTTCACCTTTACCCTAGAAAATCTGAGAATCCATTGGTGTGTACTGTGTGACACAATGCCAACAAGCCTCTGGTTTCTAATACTGGCAGGACCAACACACATACTTTAGTGGGAATATAATCTGTTTAGACGATAATAGAGGGAAATGCCATAATTAACAAATCTCCCTTCACTCACCACTATCCTCATTCTTGCAGTTGTCAAGGTGTAAGCCTCACTGTAAGTTACAAAGCTACCACTCCCCTCTTTAAGAACACATAGCTTAGGATTGCCTTGGCGATGTGGGCTCTTTTTTGGTTCCATATGAACTTAAGTAGTTTTTTCCAATTCTGTGAAGAAAGTCATTGGTAGCTTGATGGGGATGGCATTGAATCTGTAAATTACCTTGGGCAGTATGGCCATTTTCACAATATTGATTCTTCCTACCCAAGAGCATGGAATGTTCTTCCATTTGTTTGTATCCTCTTTTATTTCCTTGAGCAGTAGCTTGTAGTTCTCCTTGAAGAGGTCCTTCACATCCCTTGTAAGTTGGATTCCTAGGTATTTTATTCTCTTTGAAGCAATTGTGAATGGGAGTTCACTCATGATTTGGCTCTCTGTTTGTCTGTTGTTGGTGTATAAGAATGCTTGTGATTTTTGTACATTGATTTTGTATCCTGAGACTTTGCTGAAGTTGCTTATCAGCTTAAGGAGATTTTGGGCTGAGACGATGGGGTTTTCTAGATATACAATCATGTCGTCTGCAAACGGACAATTTGACTTCCTCTTTTCCTAATTGAATACCCTTTATTTCCTTCTCCTGCCTAATTGCCCTGGCCAGAACTTCCAACACTATGTTGAATACGAGTGGTGAGAGAGGGCATCCCTGTCTTGTGCCAGTTTTCAAAGGGAATGCTTCCAGTTTTTGCCCATTCAGTATGATATTGGCTGTGGGTTTGTCATAGATAGCTCTTATTATTTTGAAATACACCCCATCAATCCCTAATTTATTGAGAGTTTTTAGCATGAAGGGTTGTTGAATTTTGTCAAAGGCTTTTTCTGCATCTATTGAGATAATCATGTGTTTTTTGTCTTTGGCTCTGTTTATATGCTGGATTACATTCATTGATTTGCGTATATTGAACCAGCCTTGCATCCCAGGGATGAAGCCCACTTGATCATGGTGGATAAGCTTTTTGATGTGCTGCTGGATTCGTTTTGCCAGTATTTTATCCAGTTAGAATGGCAATCATTAAAAAGTCAGGAAACAACAGGTGCTGGAGAGGATGTGGAGAAATAGGAACACTTTCACACTGTTGGTGGGACTGTAAACTAGTTCAACCATTGTGGAAGTCAGTGTGGCGATTCCTCAGGGATCTAGAACTGGAAACACCATTTGACCCAGCCATCCCATTACTGGGTATATACCCAAAGGACTATAAATCATGCTGCTATAAAGACACATGCACACGTATGTTTATTGTGGCATTATTCACAATAGCAAAGACTTGGAACCAACCCAAATGTCCAACAATGATAGACTGGATTAAGAAAACGTGGCACATATACACCATGGAATACTATGCAGCCATAAAAAATGATGAGTTCATGTCCTTTGTAGGGACATGGATGAAATTGGAAATCATCATTCTCAGTAAACTATCACAAGAACAAAAAACCAAACACCGCATATTCTCACTCATAGGTGGGAATTGAACAATGAGATCACATGGACACAGGAAGGGGAATATCACACTCTGGGGACTGTTGTGGGGTGGGGGGATGGGGGAGGGATAGCATTAGGAGATATACCTAATGCTAGATGACGAGTTAGTGGGTGCAGCGCACCAGCATGGCACATGTATACCTATGTAACTAACCTGCACAATGTGCACATGTACCCTAAAACTTAAAGTATAAAAAAAAAAAAAAACATAGCTAAAGAAAAACTGCATATGCAAATCATACCGTATTCATTTTTTTATTTAACTTGGGGATGGAATGGGGATAGCATACATTTTATTTGTACAATATTTAACAATCACTTATCCAAGGTGGGGTTTTATGGGGATTTTAAGCTTTCTGTTAAATACTTGCAGAAAAAATAGCAAGTACGATTTGACAGTAGTACAATAACCTGTGCCCAAAACACAAGAAATACAGAGTAAAGCGAAAATAACTGCTTACCAATATTCTGAGAGGTAACAAATGGGATATGGGTTGAGACTGCATAAAAAACGTACTGCTGGTTGAATATCTGAGGTAAATGATGTTCAATCAAGATGCTACTTGTATCATTTTGCCCATAAATGGATAAATAATTTTATGCATATCATACCAAATGTTCCTAAAAAGTAATCTTTCAAAAAAGTATAAAAGAGAAACTGGAAAGTATCTGTGATGAAGCTTCTTTCTTTAAAAAAAAAAAAAAAAACAAAAAAACCAGTAATCAGTTTATTCCACTAAACCACCATCTCGCCATGGTTTTTTTTCCCCTACCACCTGCATTTTACTTAAATGTAGCTGTTACTTAGGGGTGAGGAAATGCAACAGAAGAGATTCTTTTTAAATTTCATGATATGATTCTATTTTAAATTCCAAAGGTGTTGGGTTTTTTCCTGATTGTATTTTCAAAACATCACCATGAAAGATAGATAGTGCAAGTTCATGGGACTAACAATCGTGAAGCACAGTCTCTTTTTCTGGAATTCACAAGGTACCTAGAATTCAAACAAGAATCACACATCACATGCTAAAAAAACTTCTAGCATCTAAAATACATACAAGAGCTGTGCAGGGCATAGACTTCAAATAAAGCCGAACACTGGTTAATCCATCAGTCCTATGGCAAGTTGATCATAAAGCATTCCTTACGCGGAGATCTGGGCAAGGTAAAGAGTATAAGTTAGAGCAGCAGCAGTTCTGATGGGTATCAGAAAGGCAAAATACAAGACGAGTCATGAGGAGCACCATACACATGAGGAAAGAGTTATTTGGGGGGTCTCAGTTTGCCCCAAAATGGATCACCATTTTTCTCATTCTTTGATCTTTTTTTTTTCCAGTATCTCTAGCTCAAACTTTCTGTTAACTTGCCCACTCTGCACTGACTGTAAACCAAACACTAAATACCCTGCAAAAGAAAGTTTTAACAAGACTAGGTATAAGGACAGGTAGTCACTGGAACATTCTTATTTTACTGCTTATAAAAAGTTTTTCTATTAATAATAGTTCTCAAAAGAATACAAGTTTTAAAATTGGTTAGCTACAGTTAAATACAATACCCAGGATTTCTAAAAATTTTTTCTAACTTGAAAACATTTTATATTGTGAATAACTGGGTTTAAAAATTTTATCTCTAGTACTCACATAAGCCAAACATTCATCATAATATCCCTTGTTTATTTTTGTTTAACTTTTAAAAAGAAAGTTAAATGTTCACAACAGGTAGAAATTCATCTTCAGGAAATTAATGATTTTCTTGTATGCACATTCTCAATATTTTCCCTTCTTGATTAGTTTTTAAATGGAAGCAAAACCAGATCAAGAAATTGAGAGACCAAGTACTTTGTGAAATAAAGAGGTGAACTCAACATTGAAAAGGGAATTGCTAGGAATACAATGAATGAGACCATGGGGACACACGTGACAGTTCTGAATGGTCTGCAGCACACAGACGCTATTACTCTTCTTTTCCTCCCTGCTTAAAGTCTGTTGACCTATGTATTGTTTATAAATAACATAATTAATTTACTATTCCCAGAGATTACGTACATATATGTAAAATGTAGTGTACTGTGTGGTTAAATAACCATTTGAAGACAACACATTCACAGTGAGCTCCTGACAGTGACATGTAAAAAATTCTTTTATAAAATTAACATGGATTTTAAAATGACCTGACAGAAATACACAGCATAATACTGGCTATTTGTTGATTAATTGATTGGTAATCTGGAAATTCAGAAAATTAATGTTTTACTTTTTGGCCTGTATAAATTTGAGGAAGAATCCAATTGTATTCTAACGTAATATTGTTTTGAAAAGCACTTTAGCACCTGCCTACCATCAATTCCATTTTCTTAGCAAGGATAAGGCATGAACTATCCTAAATTAGTATCAGTGTTAGTTGTAAAAGCAATTTTGGGGAGGAGGCTAGGCTATGCTACCTATATCAACATTGGTTACCTCTAAATGTCATTGCATATTTTAAGTTATACGTTTAATTTGTTATCCCTGATTTGTTTTAAAGCAGTAACATCTGAAATCTGCTTAAAGTTTAATATCTTTATCCTAGGATAATTCTTTACATATCACAGACATCAAATATTACTCTGACAAGATGGCACCAAGCAGAAGTATAGTGATAAAGTTACAAGTCTCATAGCAGACAGTGGGGAATTCTGGGTAACGACACTTCCTGAGGTGATCCTAAAACAGTGATAAAGAATGTCCCACACACTGTTTGGTGAAAAGAAATACACTACAATTTTACATATATAAATAGAAAAAACTCTATTTTAAAAGATAAAATGAAGAGCTTTCCAGTGTCACAGCTCACTTTAAAAAATTTTAAATCATGCTTTAAATTTTCAAATATTCCCCAAACACAGCACACCTAAAAAAAATACTTAGGTAAGTATGCAAATTTTGGGAACTGGATATAAGATGGGGCTTTAAAACATGGGAAGAAGGGGGAAATGACACCATCTTTTCAAAAAACAGCACTTTTTTTCCCTACATTACAAGCCAGCACAAGAAATGCTAAAACACTGCTTTACGAATGGCCACTTATTGTTGGCACTAAGCATAGCTTACCTTTTTTTCCTTAAATAACACAGTGAATTTGTTACAAAACATGGATCGATTTATTATTCAAATTTTGTTAGTGTTTTCAATTTTATAATTTAGCAACCGTGGAACTGAGGTATACCTTGTTGAGGGAGGTTAAAGTAATGCTTGGAAGCCTCTTTACTGTACCCCACTTTGATGACTTTATGTACACAGAACAGCAGCACACTAAACATTCACAAGCTGTGTCATATTGGCATTACAATAGTCATTTATAGAAACAACAGCAAATGCAATAAAAACAAGTTACCCTTTTTAAAATCTGAAATGAAAAGTTTTTGATTTAAAAAAAATAGCAGTAGTTCATTTAAGGAATTAGTGTCTTCTGACAGACATTAAGAAATCTGATGTCAGTTTTCAAACACTCCATTAGCCAGGTCCAAAAGATCCTTGATTTGGAGAGGGCTACATTCTTCATGTACACTTTTTCAAAAGTTTCTTTATAGAGTTTGCAAGGTTTCTCTTAGTCTCATGTCCTTCACATCTGTGCTGTCGGCAATGCAGTAAGTCTCCCAGAGCAACATTTTTCAACAAAGGGTCTTCTTTCTTAACATTTCCAAGAGACATCCTACTCATTTTACACAGAAAATAAACTGTAAGCAGTTTCTTTAGCTTAGCAGCTCCAGTTCAGAGTCCCATTTCTTAGTGTGCACAGATGGCGCAACCATCATAGACTAGATTCTTTGGGAGGAAAGTCAACATTTGTCACCATTGTGACCACTGTTACAATGTCCTCTGTGGTAATAATATTTGTTAGTCTCTGCATCTGGGTAATTCTTTCACCTACACATCCAGCTGATAACCTGGCTTCTGCGTCGTGATCCCAACATTCTTCAATGGTTTCACAGAGCATTGCCATTCCCTAAAAGGAGAAAAACATATACTCAAACGCCACAGCAGTTTTTGTTTTCTATTAGGAAACAATAAAATTTTCATGAAGAAATGGCTATTTTTCTGGGTCAAAGAAGTTTCTGTCAACATTCACTTTTATTGACTACCATGTGCAGAATCATAAAGAAAAGCACAAACAGAACTTTTTTTTTAAGCATGAGACTATCACAAGAGGAATTTTTTTAACTCCAAAAAAAAAATCTCTATCCCTTGTTCATAACCCAGGTCATTTCAATGCTAACCCTTCAAATGGACTCAAAAATCAAGGATAAAGGGGACCTACCAATTTTTATTGTTTTCTTAGTTAATATCAGCATTTCTATCTTACAATTAAACAGAAGATCAGAAAGCCACCCTTGGGATTTCTCTACCTGGTTTTAGCCAGGTTTCTAGTTATATTTAGACTGAAATAACCAGGGCAATACTGTTATGTGCCTGGTCTCTATAGTTTTAAAGCACTATTAAGACTTGAAAGTCTAAGCCGAAATTAAAAGGCTACAACAAACTCCCATGGAGAGGAGAAAACATGGTGCTTCATAAACTTTTTAAAATGTTGTCATATTGGAAGTGGTCATCAGCAAAGTTACCCAACTATCCACAGTTTCCGAGTCTGGCATGCCTTTTCCCTGGGAAACTTTCTAAATAGATGACACAATCTTCTGCACAGGACCATTGAGACAAAAGCCCTCTAAAGCTCTATTACTTTACAATCACCTTCAGGGGTATACAGACATAGCCCTAATTCTGCCTCTAGAACTCTAGAATATCCTGTGTGAAGATCACCTTCCAGAAAATACTTGCAGAAGAAAGAGAAATGTGCAGAGATAAATAATTCCTCTGAAAAGTGTTTTATTGGAATTTCAAATGAAAAGCTAACTGGATAACTTACAGCATGTTTCTGCCAATAATCTCTTAAAACAGGCCTCTTTTTTTTATGCACAACAACTTCCTGCATGTCTTCAAGAGATGGATGCTGGCCAATTTCCTCCTCAAATGGCAACATGTATTCATCTACAGGTCCTGAAAAGTAAGAAAAGTAAAATAAATCATTTTCATTAAAATCCTCCTGACTTTCAAACTGGTACAAACTTTCTAAAATATACTCTGTCACCTATTCCCAACTGTTTACATGCTATGAGGACAGAAGAGAAACAGACTCTCAACTGTACTTATACCACAGTGTGACCAAACTAATGTATGGGAAATGAAAAGGCCTATAATTTGGCATGTAATTCCCTTAAAGATTGCATAAGGGGCTTTCTTATCTAGGTATAAAGGATGCCTATTTCCATCTGCACAGAGGACATAAGGAACAATCAGTATTTGTAAATTAACGTTATATAATATCCCTTTAAGGTACCCATTCCTTACAATTCAGATCAGAATGTTAACAGTGGTGCTTCCAGCTCTGGAGGCTCTAGGTTCAATCTATTATAACCATGTTTATTCTATGGCATATCCAAACCCCCTGCATGCCCCACATGAGGAATTATGCACCTCAGAGTCATACCTCTTCTCTACACTCCCTCACAACAGCTGCCAAAAAGTACATGTTTATTTTTTAGAAAATCACAAACAGGCTCTCCAACTAGGGGTCCCAACAAGTCAGGATGTGCCTTCATAGACAACATTAAACAACATAAATAATTCCTTTTTTCTTAGGCCTACTCAGATAAATAGAAAATTGTATTTAGGAGTTAATAATAACTAACATCCAGTAAGCACCTATCCTGATCAGAAACTTTACATATATTACTTACTTCACAGGGTTAAGATGGCAGTACCTCTATTTACTGATAAGAAGCTCAGAAAAGTTACATAATTTGCACAAAGACATACAGCTGTTAAACGGTAGAGCTGGAATTGAACCCAACTCTCTAAATAACTCTGAAGTCTGGTTTTAATCACTGGATTGCCTTCCTTTGACAGACACAGGTCACCACTGAGCAGTATCAGTGACCAGATAGATGTATGTGTGCATAAACACAAATTTTGTGAAGCTCTTGAAATGCACTAAATACTCCTGGGTAGAATACAATGAATCATAAAGGGGTCATCTAACTTAACCCTCTTCAAATATAAGAATTATCTATGGCTGGACAGTTGGTCTCTGCTTGAGTACTTCCAGTGACAAAGTACCGACATTCTAAGGTGTCTATTCAACACTTATGTGGTGTACAGGCCAGCAACACTGCCGTCAACTGGTAGCTTAGCTTTTAAGAAATGTAGACTCTCAGGCTTCAACCCAGACCTACTGAGTCAGAATCTAAATTTTAACAAGATTCCTAAGAATCTGGTATGACACATTAAAGTTTGAGAATTACTTCATTTAACAAACAAGTAACCATCAACACACGTGAAAGCACCTACTTTAGCAATCAATGCTCACACTATCCTCTCTACCCCAATTTCTGACTTAACAATTGGGTTCTGACTTAAGAGTCAGAAATGCCTGACTCTGAAATTATTTCATGGCATTTAAGAAAAGTCAGTATCTAGCCTTTTCTTTTTCCAAAAGAACTTCTCTGAAACCTCTCTTCCCCATAAACAAAGCAATTTCTCCCCTAAACTCCTAAAACACATGCTTGTATTTCTTAAGTATTGCACTAACCCAGAAACATTTATTGAATACCTATGTACTGGGGAATGGGCCAGACAACTCACACTTAACTTACTCTAGAGTTAATTGTCCAGGATATATTTTATTGCCCTAACTAAACTGTATATTACTTGAGAATAAGGTCTTGTGTCTCCTAAATTACTTAATCCAATGATTTGTTATGGAGAGTTCATATTAATAAAGTTCTTATAAAATATATTTTCCTATAACATCTGCCATCTAACCTACTTCTGCTTCCATAAATGCACATCATAAATGTCATTCCTCTTAGAGTCAAAACACTCTGCGTTCTTAACGCTTCTTCCTAAAGACTTCTGAAATTATTCCAAAATTGCTTCAACTTTTCTTAGGTTTGGCATTGACTCCCAAGCCAATCCCTCAATCCTGGAAGAATGCCCATTTCTGAACACTCTATTAAATTCCCTTTAATAGTACCCTATATTGAATTTCATATTCCAGTGGCAGTCTGTCCTACAACGAGAGCCTATTACAGTACTCAGAAAATAAAATATTGTTAGTAACATAGGTTACATTGGTTATAACTTAAAATATTCACAATTTCTTCTATGGTCTTTGACAATCACAGGAAGTTTTTAGGCAATTATAAATTAGAACTTAAGAAACAGATCAAGCTCATTTACATCTGTTTAGGAGTTTAGCAGTCGGCAAGTTTGCCTTATATTATTCAAAACAAAAAATGCTGCAACATACTTGAAGACAGAGTAAAGACCTTATGAAGGAGTACTAAAGACAGTGCTTGAAACACTAAAATAGTTCTGTCACACTGGAAATATCGTCTGAAAATTTACCCAGAAAAATAAATAAATAAAAGCAAATATCTATAAGACTTGAACATGGACTTCAATAACAAGAACAAGTAATAGAAACCCTTTAACCTGGGGGGCAGGACCCATATGACCTTAAAGCAGACCTCTCCCTATGTCTGGATCAGAGTTTCAAATCTAGGTTTCATCATTCACCAGTTTGAGGCTAAAGTAGGCAAACTACTTAATTTCTCTGCATCTCAATTTCCTCATATGTAAAGCATAATAACTACCTCTGAAACCGTTTTAGGAAATAACCTTAAGGTATGTGAAGTGTCCAGCAACATAGCTAGTAATGGTAAAGGATCAATACATAGCAATTCCTTTCCTCTCCTACCCCACCCACTGCTCCCCTGCCTCCTGAATTCTCTACCATCTCTTGGAGTCAATTAAAAAAAAACTGTACTTTAAAATATTACCTTGGAGTGTATCATCCCTTTTCATATATGTGTGGTAGGCATATATATCTTTTTTAAAAATATTTTTTTCCCTTACCATCTGCAGCAGTACAGCGAGAAGCCAGTTCCCATAGGACTAATCCCATGGCATACATATCTATCCTCAAAAATGCATCCCTTTGGAAGTTTATAGCACCCTCTAATACCTCTGGAGCCATGTACCTCCGGGTACCAACCTGAAAAAGATGTTAAAAGCAAAGAGTACTCATTCATTAACTTTATGAACTAACATATGATTTTGTAAGATGAATCAAAACCAAATGTGGTCTATTACCAGGGTAAGGTATACACACTATAGCGTATAAATAGAAAGATCCTTTCTGCGTATACTTAAAAAATATATCAACAGACATTATGCTGGTACAGACTTAGAAGTTTTTATGTTCCCCTTTCTGGATGTAATCACAAGAAACTGAACCAATTGTCAGCTGGGAGAAGGATGCTGCATACTTTTCAACTGTACCTTTGCATACTGTTTGAAATGTAGCTTTAAAAAAAAAACTTTTTTTGAGGTCTTTTCTCTGTATTAAAAAAACTAATAAAATGTTATAAAAAGAATTAGCTAAGTAAAGGACAGACTGATGTTAAAAAGTTCTATCTGTACAAAATCTATGTATTTGTTTATTCATAAATTCTTCTGTCTTGGAGTCCTTTATTTATAACTGTCCCCAACAATTTGGTATTTCTTAGTACTGTAACTATGGTTACTAAGCTAGTACAGCTAGCTTTGGTTGGTGCTTGACAACATTCATATATGAATGCTTAAAAATATTTGTGAGATAGCTGGGTACATCACAACATACTTGCGATGTATTCGAACTAGAGAGTAGTCTAGATATTGGTACGTCCATAACGCTCCATCCTTAGGTGGCTATAATCTCTACTCTAGACTAAAAGTTGGGCAATTTATGCAAATATACATGTAAAGATTTTTTTTAAGAATAAAGACAGATCACTAAGACTAAAGTTCAAGGAGAACACATTAAAGGGAAAAGTGGCTCTACTTTTAAAAAATTTACTACTCAGAATAATTATTTTAATTGTGCTATCAGTGAATGTTTCCCTAAAGCCTACTTTTCTCTTACAGGTAAATGTATGCCATCCAAGGTACCTACCTCTTTTATTGTAAGATTATGGTTTATTTACCATGTTGACATAAAATGTTCCCTCTTTTATATGTGTTCTTTGTACTATATAAAATGTGCAATAACATGCAAGTCCCTCCAAATATTTCTGAAATTTTCTGGTCCATGAAATCTAAAGTCAAGGAGTCATTACTGTAAGCCAATAATTTTTAACTAATCATAAAACCCAGTTGTGAAGGAGTTAAAAATATGACATGAATGAGTCAGAAATTTTTTTTCTCAAAAAATGAGGGAGGGCTTATGAGGTACCAAATTAAGAATATGTTCCCAGAATTTAGTCTTATGATAGTCTATCATTCAATTAGCTTAGAAGTTTGTCCTCAGGCTTCCTACACAATCTTGGTAGTATTCTCCACAAAATTGCCTCCATTCCCATACACATTTGCAGTCAACTTTTCTAGAGCTATATGGCTACTGACCATTACCCCAAACTACATTCTTAAATAGTTAGTCAATACTGCCAAAATTGGTGGTGCCATGACATTAAAAACGTGTCCTCAGGAACCAATAGGATATGCTGGGGAAAAGAAACCTAAGAATTAGTTGGCCAAATAATTTACATGATATGAAAGATGAAGAAATGATAATGTCGAAGGCCTGAACCATTTAGCTTTGTAGAAAATGTCACCTTTTAGGTTGAACTGGTTTCCCTGATTAAAAGGTGATCTTGGCTGGGCGTGGTGGCTCACGCCTATAATCCCAGCACTTTGGGAGGCCGAGGTGGGAGGATCACTTGAGGTCAGGAGCTCGATACAAGCCTGGCCAACTTGGTGAAACCCCATCTCCATTAAAAATACAAACATTAGGCTGGGCATGGTGGTGCATGTGTGTAATCCCAGCTACTCAGGAAGCTGAGCCAGGAGAATCACTTGAACTTGGAAGGCAGAGGCTGCAGTGAGCCAAGATCATGCCACTGCACTCCAGCCTGGGTGACAGAGCGAGACTCTGTCTCAAAAATAAATAAATAAATAAAAATAAAAGGTGATCTTGCAGGAATGAAAACATCTTTTCCAGCCTCAAAGTTTCTGAGAATAAACTGTATGGATAATGTTCTTTTCCCTTTTGGCCTTCCTAGAGGTTCCCATTACTAAGATTTCTGTGCATATGGATATATACAGAGGTGTGAAGAGTTACCTAATTCAGGGGTTTACAAGTGCTCTGAACTCTGGAGAGAATTTGGAGAAAAGCCATCAAGTTGATTAAAGAAATTAATGAAGCAATAAACAACAAGAAGCAATAAACTATTATTGCATGGGAAAATGGACAGGAAATCTTAATACACTGTAGTAAGGACAGTGACTAATTATTCTTCCACTCTTCTTAAGATGGTGAAAGAACTAACAGACTAAAACTACGGAGTTCATACGAAGAATTCCCTAAGAATGAGGTCTGTTAAAAGGTGGTGGATTATTCTTTGATCAATTTTTCAAAAAGAATCCTATGACGTGTGTCTAAGGGTTGCTTTACGAAGTGCTTGATCTAAACCACCTGAGTCCTCTACCATCATATGAAAATGTCTTCCTCAGAAACTTTGATAACTCTATTAGATGCTGATTTAAACACCACAACAATTTTAGACTAATTCAGTCCTGACATGCCATTCTAAGAAAATATGGAACAAGTTTATTTTTTCTTACATTTTATAATCATCATCCTTACCTGTCCATGGGTATCGCCTGCAGACTTGCCAGCCTCAAATTTTAAGGCCAACCCAAAGTCAGCAATGCAAGCTGTCAGGTTGTTTTTCAACAGCACATTTTTACTTTTGATGTCCCTTGCAAATAAAAAGAGTATTCAAATTAAGTTTAAACTAGTTACCTTTTTAAATTTTTTATTGAAAGCAGAAAAGGGGGAATATGTACACTATGAAAAAATAGTTACTTAAAATTATGAAATGCAGAGAAAGTGAGACAAACAAAGCTCAGAGCCCCATGCAGCCTTAAACACAAGAGCACGGTGACAAACCCCTATTCATAACATGGACAATAAGAAGGAATCCTACCTATAAAGCAGTTATATAAAAATCTGCCATACCAAAAAGATATGTTATCTATGTCACCCACCTACCAATCATAAAACTACTGTTAATATCTCAGAGTTCTGATTTGCAAACTCCCATAGAAACAGAAATTTTAAACCAAAATGAAGAAACTTTTAAAAAATAGCTGAATTGGGGCCTTCTGCTTATTGGTAGAGACCTACATTTTAGAATAATCCCTTATTATAGAGGTTCTTATATTCTTCCACCTGGTTGTAGAAAAGCATCTTATGGAATGAATAACAGAAACTTTTTACCATAAACATACACTGCTCTAGCTAGATCCTGGTGTTCTGAAAAGGGTAACAGTTTTAAGGCAGTAAGATATCCTCTTCTACACACCTGTCTCAACTGGCTCATCCTAGAGATTACTATACCCTAGTTAAATACATCTATGCCAATGACTAGTGGTTAAATTTATGTGCAGACATATAGACCAATAATGGGATACTGAAAGCACAAGCAGACACTCCCAAATGCTATAAAAGCTAATCGATCTTAGTTTCAAAAGACTTTCAGGCCCTTAATAACTTTGGGGGTCCTTAAGGATTAATTCCCTATGTGACCAGGTAGGGCAAGGGAAAATCGAAGACGAGGCCAATAGACTGCATGTAAGAAAGTGAGAAGAGTTATTTCTGAGGTAGACGTCATTTAAAGTTTGCAAAATCAGAACCTAAATTAGAGGCTGACTTACAATAATGCCTCCCAGCAACCTAAAACATCGCCTGGTGGCACTCAGCTAAGTATCTGTTCTGTGAATCAGTTAATGCCTACTTTTCAAACAACCATCTTTAAATGGAACACAAGACAACAAATTGAATCCCACGTTCAAGAAAATTAAATACATGGCAAACTGAATTCCATGTTTAAGACACAATCATTTTTCCTTTTGCGGGCATGACAACTGTTGGGTCTAAGTAGTATTTCTTCACTGGACAACTGTTTTAAGTGATGCCTCCCTTTAAGACTTGGCTCAGGGTACAGATAAGGTCATTCAAAAAACAAGCAAGGAAGACATTCAAAGTCTCTCCTTCATTACATGCCCTTGGATAATAATCCCTATTGATAAATCATGTTTTGAGGTAAAACAAATGTCTTTTTCCTTTGAGATCGAGAAAATATAGTTTATTTTCAATCATGCTTTCAGAAATGAGATGAAGTAGATCATTAAACTTTACCAATAATGTTAACATATACATTATCCAAAATACTTCCTGGCCAATCTCAAAGCTAATTTTAAAAAACAAATGAAAACTGACTGTCTTGTAAAGCATGATTGCATAACAAAGGAAAAATTAAAATTTACCCAGGGGCTTAAAAGTTTAGTAAATATATACTCAATTATCTGGGAAAACAATATAAATTTAGTCTACCTGTGAGATATGGCAGGTTTGTGGCCATCTTTTAGGCCAGGTATATCCTCATGTAAATATGCCAATCCTCTAGCCATGGTTTCTGCAATATGACACAGTTCATTCCAAGAGACCACATTAGCCTTAAGAAAGTCTGATAGTGAACCCTAAAAAAAGAGGGAAAAAAAGAAACTTATGTTCTTGACAAAGGCCATATGTATAAGGAGACTTTTCTTTTTACCTATAAGAGGTTGTGAGTTTCCCTTTCAGGGAAAAATAATATCCAAGAAACAATCTTTCTGGAATGGTTCAAATGGTTCAAATTTCCTTCCATTTCACATTAATAAACATTTGACCAGAAGGAAATACCAGAGCTTTAAACTTTTGTTACAAGAATAGTCAACTTCCACCAATCTATAAGACAAGTTTGTTTTTTTTTTTTTTTAAAGACTAGTTGAAAATCTAAGGTTCTAGAAAATATTTTAAAAGTTAAAATATCCTGACTATAGAGTTGTTATATCATGGGACTAGCAGAACACAAAATAACAACATAAAATAACAACTAATATGTAGAATATTCCTCTAGATTATTGTTGTCCTTTAGGTCAAGATAAGAGAAGTAAAAGAACCACTTACATTTCACAATGATGAAACCAATTACCAAAAACATAATTTCCTACTTCATTAATGGTACTTTCACACTGACTCTAAAAGTAGAAAAATTGAGGAAAACTAGCAATTACATTTTGGTGATAATTACCCTGCAAGTTAGTGACAGATCAAAGATCAGATAAATTTCCTGACTCTGGTTTTGTCACAAGCAAGACTGATTAAAACTTAAAAAAATGGTTCACGTAATCAAAATGAATTGTAAATGGTAAATGAAAATTACTAAGCATTACCTACACTAAAATAAATGTTTGTAAGAGTAATTACAGCACAAGAAATAAGGAACAAAAGGGTGGTTTATATGAGTAGAGTTTTAGGTTAAAAAGTTGCCATCTTTGCTCTTTTATTAAAATAAACTACCTTTTAAAACATTTTTATTCAAGAATGATTTTTATTTTCAGGTTAAATATTAATCAACTATAAGATGTCTCGAAAAATAACTCTGAGGGATTTATAGCCAGCATTAGGTAGGCAGGCCAACTCAGACTTTACTAAAGTAAAACGTTAAGTAGTTTTACCTTTTCATGAAATGCTGTGATCAGCCAAAGATCCACATCAACACTGGTGCCTCGTTTTTCTGCACCAATGAACTGTAATATGTTCTCATGCTTCATTCCAGGCAAACTGTAGACTTCGTATTCATTTTGCCATGACTGTTTGTCCTAGAGTCAAAAAGAAAGAATAGTAAGAACACAAGGAATACAGGTTTAATAAACCATGCATAAGAGATTACTCAAATAAGTTCCAAAGTAAAACAAAACAAAACAAAAAAGTCTTAAAAAATTTTTTGTTCTGTTTTGTAATAAGAAAAAGCTCTGACAATAGGTTAACAAATTTATACTAAATGCCTGCCCTTTTCATTCCCTCAAAACGTACTTTTCTGTGTTTCTAGTTTACAAACACAGAAGGTGATCGGAAATGCTGCATTCTGTGTCTTACAATGGCAACACGTAAGTTACTGCAAGTATTACACTGTAATTTCATCATGGTGTGAAGTTACTTGTGGTACTATTCAGAATAATCTCCTTGAAAGATGAAATTCCGGCAGAATGACTTCCTCTAAATAGAAAACTTCTTCTTTTCAAAAACTAACATAATATCAAACATCCTTCAAAAAATGTTTAGCATACCCTACAAGGTCTATGAGAAAGCAAGGGGCAAAGATATGCAATGCAATAATTTAAGACACCATATATTCACTTGTGCCTGCAAGCAATCCATGTCTACTAAGTATCTACTTATAAAAGATTAGCTTCTTTTCACTACTAAAAGACAATAATAGTAAGAGGCACTATGGCATAATGGTTAGAAACCCTTAGAAACTCTCTGCATCCAAACTGTCCAAACTTAAATCCTGGCTCTCCCACTAACCTCTGGCAAGTTACATAATCCTTCAGTGTCCTCATTAAGTAGAAAAGGCATTGTAGTGTCTGTCTTATAGAATTGTTGTATTATATGTTGCATTTTATGTACATGTGGGTAATATACGTACACATATTAGTGAGTACTCATATATGTAAAACACCCCTACCTGACCCAATAAAAGCATACAATAAAATGTTAGCTACTGTTGTTGCTGTTGTCGGGCTTGTTAATATCATCCAAATGCCTTTCTCTGAGCTTTATGCTTCCTTACACATGGAAATAATTTCTTCCCTTATCTTATTTATGAATCTTGGCACAACAGAATACACTTTCTCTCTGAAAACTAAACTGTGGTTTACAGCTACCAAAAAAAAATGTAATACAGTTCATAAACTCTATGTAAACAGTTTATAGACTGAACAGAGGAGGTAAGATTGAACAGAGGAGGTAAAAAGGTTAAAATCTAGGTATATTAAGACAAAGAAACTGCTTATATGATAACTTTGGAAAAAGAAACATCCACTCTCTAAGTATGGTGGTAGAGCCTGCAACACCAAATCCAGCCAAGACGTCAGTACCAAGGGTATCATGAGCTGCCAGGGTATATAAGCAAGAGATGGGGAAGACAGAATCATCATAAATCTATACCACCAACGGAACAAAACAAAACACAAGAATAGCTCAGAGGTACATTAGATCAGAGTTTTATGAGAAGTCCAGCCAACCTTAAAAACAATTCAACAGTAAACCAATTATTTGAAGTCTCGATTGCCTCTGAAAATGCATCAAACAAAAACTGAAATAATTAAACACTCAAAGTAGAATGAAAGTAAGTCAAGTCTGGTGATATACCTCTAAATACCAATTCTAAAACAAAGTATACTGCTCTTTTGTTTTTTTGTTTGCTTTCTCTGACAACGTAGGGGGATATTAAAATTTAACCACTCAATTAGACTTGTTTATTGGAATCTTTATCTTTATTTAACATTTCTATTAGAATTTTCACTGGCAAAAGATCTACTATGCATTCATTTAATTCCACCACTCCAGACAAACATAATGATTGTTATATTAACAATTCCATTTCTCAGATGCAAAGGCAGGCATTAAAAGAGCTAACTGCTTTCCCCAGTATCACAAAGAACCACCTTGGTACATATGGCTTCTGTTTTGAGACTATTTCTGAGTTATGATGACCTAGCCATAAAACATGTATGTAAGATGACAAAACTGCAATAAACATACCTGTATTGGAAATATTTTGACAGCCACATATTCGTTAAGCAACTGGGCTTTCCAGACACAACCAAATCTTCCCCTTGCTTTCACTTCTAATAACTGCAGTGGTTTCAAACCTAGTAATGGAGAAGGTGGGGGTGGTCCTGGGTCCTACAGATAAATAATAATAATACTATAAATAAGCAGAACATGACACACACCAACTCTGAAAATGAGAAAAAAAGTGAGTATACTGAAAAGTCAACTGACAGAAACAGTAAACACATATGAATGACATTAACTTCAATGTTGCCATAATTAGATTACTAATTATCTATAGTGATCACAAGGCAGGCAACCTGAATTCAGAGTTTCATAATAATGTTCAGCATTATTGCTATATATGTACCACAGGAGAGAAGATCTAAAATCTTTCTGATCAGTCTCAGTAATATTCCCCACTAAGATTTTCTGTGAACTACGAAATACTCCTAACAATATTTCATTTGTTTCATCCAGTGTGTACTTCGAGGAGGATGATTTGAAAAGTGCCAGAAACAGCAAATTATGACTATATATCAGCAAAAACCTCTCCTGAAGATCTATTACTTTCTCCAGTGACTGTTTAAATTTTTTCTTCATTAATCTCAGAGATACCGGCAGTCATTCTTAAACACATTGCAGATAGGTATATCAAATACAAAGCACATACAGGAAATATGTAAGTAAATATTTCTTTAACCAAACTGGTTCATTCTAATTTTAAACATATTAACAATTCATCCCTTTGATCTGAGATAAAAAATCATTTGTGTTCTGGAACTGACTGACTGGCAAAGAAGTACGAATAAAAATCCAGAAAAGAAGTGGTCATCATAGTAGATAACAGGATATGGTAAATGAAAGAAACGTGCACTGCTATAGTTTTTTAAAAATAGAGCAAACATAATATATAAATAGGAATACAGCATCTACAAATCACAAGGAAATCCTATCAAAGCAGAATGCAACCCTCCATTGAAAGCATTCTCTCAGTTCCCTATCTGCAACTAAAGCAAGATGCAGGAAGCCTTTTGGAAAGCTTCCAGAGAAAAGCAACAGAAGGGTTTGGAGGGCTGCATAATGAGTATTTTGAGGAGGAACTAAAATTTCTGTGGCAAAAGCAACTGATATGATGACACTGGGTGGCACCTCAGACACTTGGAAATGGTATGTGATCCCAGATCAATGCATCCTCTCTGCCTTTCTTTTTCTCTCTTCTTCTAATGCCTCAAAGACAGTTAGTGCTTTCTTTAGGCATCACTCAGCTCACTGGTGCCACTCAGGAGTTTTAAAAGTTTACTGTGTACTAGAAAGAACCTCAGCAACAGAAACATTGCAAGGTGTTATGTAGGAAAAACATGCAATTTCTTCTTCTAAATGAAACCATCTTTATAAAATGGCTTTAGAATTCCTGTTTAAACAGTAAGATAAAACAAAAGACTTCTTGTGACTCATTTCAAACTCAGACTTTTTTTTTTTTTTTTTTTTTTTTTTTTTGTCTACAAGTTGCTTGTCCTTCCCACATTCAAAACATGAAAGAACGTTTCTGTTTAGCAGAGTGACGGGTCAAGGAGGTCAGATATAAATCTTATAGGAAGGATGGGCTCTCAAGTGTGATTCTCAGTGGAGGGGACACAAGAACCTCTAGAGAGTTTTTATTAAAAACTACACCCTCCCTCCCTCATTCTTCAAGTGATCACCTCTATCCGAGAAATTCTACTGATCAGAGCAGACTGCTTATATGAATGTGGAGACAAGAGAAAAAAAGCTTGAAAACAACTCTTCTACAGGAAAGGAAACCATTCAGTCCTCAAGGGCAAAGAGTTATTGTATAACTGCATAAAGACATATTTAAACTAAATAGAAAATGTTAGAAAGGTAGAGAGATAGGTTTCAAACCAGAGGGGATGCCAAAAACTAAAAACTAAAGTATACAGAAAATGGCTGAAAGCTGAAGAGGAAAAATAACTAGGTAGAGGGAATACAGTGCTAAATTACAATATTAAGATTTTTAATAGCTTTTATGTACACTGGTAATGTCTCTATAGTTAATCTACACATTACCCATTCTCTGTTCTAAAGGACATCAACAACATGAATATGATTCAGTCTGTAAGATATAGATTATTTAATCCACAATTAATATGTCAGCAATTCAAACTATGATTTTAGTATAACATTAATTTTAGAAAAAATAATTTTTAATATCTACATTAAAAAAAAAAGTTCATTAAATGTTTTCCAAATGCATATACTTCAAGTTCCCATACATTCCCAAGGCTCTGTTTAACAAGTTTCTAAGCTATCATTATTTCAGAAAGAAATAATCTTAGATCACCCTCCTACTATAATTTATTCAATATTGTATAGTAACAGCCAGAACAAATATTGTTGTCAAAATTACTTAAAAGGTAAAAGCTTCAATTAGAAAGAATACTGGTCAATTTCGAAAGGGTGACAAAAAGGTCTACAAGGTCTTCCTGTAGAATCTCAAAACCTTTAGCAATGACATGAGCTTTTCAAAAATGGAATTTTAAATAATATTCTTTAATACACAAAGGATTGGGTTCAAAAATGATAACTGTAGGACAGATTATAAAATCTCTAATCCTTTTTAAATAAAAAATTACTAGAATGAAACTTTAAATTCATCTGTAAGTTTCACTCATCCTATAATAGTAGAAATGATTTTCAATTAATTGGCATCATTATAGTAATTTATTCACAAAAAAATCAATACTTGATTCTAAAAATAAAAATGTATACCTTTAAAATATATGAGCCCCTGGGAAGACAAATGTAGACATAAATTTCAAAATGACAAGCAATTTCTGATGTCATACACAAAATATGGCTTTACCTGGCTACATAGAGAAACCAATGGGGAGCTGAGAGGCACCTAGAAGGATTTCAGAATTCCTAAAAACTTCCCTAAATTTCCAGTTCTCTTACAACATCCATGCTATTTTGCAAAACTAAAAAGATATGCATTCAAACACAGTTCTGATTACATTTCTTCTTTACTCATTTATATGTAAAAATTATGGTATCAGAAGACATCAGCTTCAGAACACATACTGAAATGATAACCTGGTAAAAAGTAATCTCCTGCCCCCAAACCACTACCCAATATCATTACTATAACCAACAGTGGAATAAATTATTAGAGGTGGGAAGCTACAAAGTCATCTCTGATCATTTTACTTATTCTGAGTTCTCCATTTGAAGGGTGAATTTTAATCTAATTAAACGCTTAAACCTCAGATAGCAAAATATCATCAAAAGTTATACTCCTGTAGCTAGTTCATTTGCTAAAGATGCCAAAGATGAAGCTATCTAAAAATATCTATTTCACATTTAAATACAATGGGCTGGATTAGAAAATCGACCCCTGTTAAAAATGAACACATGCTGACATTTAAGCTAATGACATATAAAAATTAACCAATAC
The DNA here is from genome assembly GCF_000001405.40 of Homo sapiens. Taxonomy (NCBI): domain Eukaryota; kingdom Metazoa; phylum Chordata; class Mammalia; order Primates; family Hominidae; genus Homo; species Homo sapiens. The sequence goes on along the minus strand of NC_000002.12, from coordinate 147,911,868 downwards.
AAGGTTTTTGAGGCGAATGGAGCCGTTAAGGTGTTAACTTCTAATCAAGTAAAACGGTTTTTTCTACATCCTACCTTAAATAAATATAAATACTCTCAGTCTCTTAAAACTAAAAGCCATTCCTAAGTCAAATCAATCACATTTTAATTATAAAAGCTGGGTGAGGGAGAACCCTTTATGACATAAATATATAAATTATAGAGGATGCACAGTAAAGCAGTAACAACAACAAAAATCTAAGAACAAAATGTTTAGTATGCATCCACAGAAAGTTCCACAACCATAAAACAAACATCAATGCATCTTACCTCTATCATTATATGAAAGGCGTGCTTGTGAAGAAAAAACACAGGCAAAAGAAATTACGATTCATATCCAGAATGAAATGAAAAATGACACATCAGTTACAAAAGTGAAGGAAAGAGAATAATGGTTTAGTATTTTAAAAGTTGGCAATGATCCAAAGTTTTACATTGTTTAAATAAAGATAGGGAACACTTTCCTTACAAACAGAGGAAAGTAATATCAAAAAGAACCCCTTAGATATGAGAGATAGGTGGTAAACAAATTCTTGACTCCAGTTTAATCCCAAGTTAACTGATCCAATGACTTCATGCCTGCAAACAAACTAAATCAAGTCTTAAATAATGATTATTTATTTTTCTAAGAGCCTCTAGAGTCTAAATTATAAAACAAGGAATTTACAAATTGGAATTGCCTTCTCGACACTAGAGGGCAGTATTGCCTTTAGCAAAAACGAGCTAGCAGCCCTAACAAATTTATATATAGCTAGAAATCAGTTTCTCAGACTTTCTGATAGTTGTCTTAAGAACCTCTAGAATTTCCTATTTCCTGAACTGCCTCACTTCCCTTTCATGGAAGACAGAATCATAATGGTGAGACAGAAAAATGTTTCTGGTGGCTATGTGCGTGCACCATAATACACCATGGCAAGAAACTAAGACAGGAAAACAAGATCATCAGAATTAAGTAAAACATAGTGACAGAATATTATCAAACCTACTTGCCCAGCACATCAAGGTGAAGCAGTTAAGCAGAGGTGGCCCTGGGAACAAGTAATCACACATCTCACATTCTAAAGACACTCAGACACTGATAGAGAACAGGATTTTCATTTTTCCAGTCATCCCAAAATAGGTAAGGGTCTAAATTTAAAATTAAAAGAAATATGATCACCAGTGGTAGGGAAGGCTGAGAATTCCTCCAATGGATGATGGCTATGTTCCCCAGTTTCCAATATTTCTATAGAGAACAATAGCACTGACAAAACAGAATGGACAACTCATTTATCTGTACCAGTTGCTTAACTAGTTTTCTTCCTTCTAGATTTTCTTCCTGTGATAATGATTCAAGAGTATTTATAATTCATCCAAAAGGCTGAGATAATCCTACTATCAAAACATCTTATCCAGTACTCCAGAGTAAAATTAATCCCTTGAAAGAAATACATGCCAACTGAATAAGTAGACTATGGTTTCCAAAGGCTCAAGGATCTCTCAGATCTTGTTTAAATACAGGTGTTTTCAGAGATAAAGATGACACTATAAAGATGACACTATACTAGCACTGTGCAAGTAGGTGCTATCCATACATCTTACCAAAAAGTATGTCTCTGCCCAATACATTTCCCAAGAAATGAACATTAGGATAAGCTATAAAATAACCCAAACTGACACCAAGAACAAGCCTCAAAATATCAACTATGCAACAAAATATGAAGGGTAAAAACGGAACAAAAAAATACATTCACTTAAGTACATGAATAAATACAAAATAACCACATATGTTTGCTTAATACACTTCTCAATAAATGAGGATTAGAATAAACAAACAAGAGACACCAGCAACAGTCCTCAATGTATAAACTACATGACAAAATAAGAGCGGTAAAGCAAAATTTTTTTAAAGGCCAGGTGTGATAGCTCATACCTATAATCTCTGCATTTTGGGAGGCCAAGGCAGGAGGATCTTTGAGCTCAGGAGTTCGAGACCAGCCTAGGCAACACAGGGAGATCCCTTCTCTACAAAAAAATTTTTTAAAAATTAGCTGGGCGTGGTTGCATATGCCTGTGGTCCCAGCTACTCGGATGTCTGAGGAGGGAAGACATCTTGAGCCTGGGAGATTGAGGCTGCAGTGGGCTGTGATCATGCCACTGCATTCCCGCCTGGGTGACAGAGTGATACCTCATCTCCAAAAATAAAAATAAAGCAAAATAAAATGCACTAAAATATACAACTAAGCAAAAAGCAAACAAAACTCTGGATTCACAACATAGAAAATGTAGCTTGACTATTATATACTATAACTGTAGGTAACGGTGAAAATCGAATCTGCACATTAATATCAAGCTATTAGGTTTGTAGGTGAGAAAAAGATTTGTTGCTTCTCCCTGAGGTGGAAAAAAAACTACTGCCAAATATCAGAAAAGAATGAAGAATAGTTCATTCATTCATTCATTCATTCATCCAACAAATTTTACTGAGTAACTAGTCTGTGCCAGGCACTGACTAGCCAGGCTCTCATGAAGCTTGCAGCAGTGCAGGACAGAAGGACTAATCAACAATTCACACTAATAAAAAGGAATTCAGTACCTTCAACATCTGTAAAGAGAAACCTGACTTATAATGACAGGTAAAGTCTGAGAAGATTTCCCTGTGGAGAACACCCTTGAAAAATGGAGTAAGTACTAGGGAGAAGCAGTTAAGGTGAAAAACAGAGTTGAGACATCCTAGTTTCCTGGCTTATGCAACCAAATGGACAGTGGTTCCATTTACTGAGAACCAGGTTTGTGAGAGACAATCACTACCTGTGAATGGTAAGTGCTTGGAGACATATAAATGGAGATATTTAGTAAACACATACACAGATCTGGAATACAAAAAATCTTTCCAGAAAATAGAGATTTTTGTTTATATACTATAAATATGTATATATGATATGTGTTATAAGATTTCTTTTATTTACTATTCAAACCATTCCAAGAAATATCTGTATCTCTGTATCTAGAGAGAGAGAGACTGATTTTTTTCTGGGAGTGGAGATACCTCACTCAACAACTTTTTAGGACTACCAAGACGAATTAAGGTCCTCCTATCCAAACTATATGAAAACTGACAAATTCTGAATTTGTTTCCTCTTAATATCAACTAATTATTTTACATTCTAAGAAATTTTACCATTTTAAATTTTAAAAAGACTATCCTGCCAAGCAGAATAGAAACAGAATTTATAAATAATACAGTATATGCGAGGACAATGTTTCTGAACTAAGGAAAGCAAGACATACATTAAGAGATTCAACAGTATTGACATGTCAATTGCACAGCAATGATTCCAGCCAATTAGATCGTCAAAATTCCTCTGTGATAATTCCTACTTCCTACAGTTTCTCTCATCTTACTCCTCTTGAAAGGAAAGCAAAGAAAGGCCAAGGCAGGTGAAATGAAGATTCTGGATATGTTCCCTAAGAAGTAGAGCACCTCAAGGTAGCCAGCACTGGAGTTAAAAGTCTGAAAAAAACGTAGGTATGCCCATTCTCTTTTTGGGGTTGATGCTTAAAAGAATCAGGTTTTATGACTGGCTACAGAAGTTTATTTTGATTTATTTTCATATCTGTATTCTGCAAGTGTAGCTGAAAAAACCAGAAAATAAACCATGTTACACATGAATAAATTGTGAGATGGTAAAATGGTTATCTACAAGGCCACATATAGTCACTATGAAAACTATTTTAAATGTAGTTTATATACTTTGATCTCTTTATCCTACTTTGCTTTTTTTTTCTTTTTTTTCTTTTTTTTTTTTTTTTGAAACAGAGTCTTGCTCTGTCACCCAGGCTAGAGTGCAGTAGCATGGTCTCGGCTCACTGCAAGCTCCGCCTCCCAGGTTCAAGCAATTCTCCCACCTCAGCCTCCGAAGTAGCTGGGATTACAGGTGTGCACCACCATGCCTGGCTAATTTTTGTATTTTTAGTAGAGATGGGGTTTCCCCATGTTGTTTTCCCATGTTGGCCAGGCTGGTCTCAAACTCCTGACCTCAGGTGATCCACCCACCTCGGCCTCCTAAAGTGCTGGGATTACAGGTCTGAGCCACCACACCCAGCCCCTGCTTTGGTTTTTTTATGGACTCCACTTAATTATTTACTGAAATAAGCCATTCAATCAATGGGCAATAATCCTTGGATATAAATGCCCAGGCTTTGCCACCCACTAGGGTGACTCTAAGCCAAGTCACTTCATCTATGAATGCCTCAATTTTCTTATCTATAAAACGGACTTCAAAACTACAATGAGATAGCATCTCACAACAGTCAGAATGGCTGATTATTAAAAAGTCAAGAAACAACAGGTGCTGGCGAGGCTGTGGAGAAATGGGAACACTTTCACATTGTTGGTGGGAATGTAAATTAGTTCAACCATAGTAGAAGACAGTGTGGTGATTCCTCAAGGATCTAGAACCAGAAATACCATTTGACCCAGCAATCCCATTACTGGGTATATACCCAAAGGAATATAAATCATTCTATTATAAAGACACATGCACACGTATATTTACTGCAGCACTATTCACAACAGCAAAGACATGGAACCAACCCAAATGCCCATCAATGATAGACTGGATAAAGAAAATGTGGTACATGTATACCATGGAATACTATGCAGCCATAAAAAGGAATGAGATCATGTCCTTTGCAGGGACATGGATGAAGCTGGAAGCCATAATCCTCAGCAAACTAACCCAGGAACAGAAACCCAAACACCACATGTTCTCACTCATAAGTGGGAGTAGAACAATGAGAACACATGGACACAGGGAGGTGAACAACGTACACTGGGGCCTGTCAAGGGGCAGGGGAACAAGGGAAGGGGAGCATCAGGACAAATAGTTAATGCATGTGGGGCTTAAAACCTAGCTGACGGGTTGATAGGTGCAGCATACCACCATGGCACAGATATACCTATGTAACAAACCTGCATGTTCTGCACATGTATCCCAGAATTTAAAGTTAAAAAAAAAAAAAAAAAAAAATGGACTTGATAAACAGGACAGAACCCCATGGTACTAACAAATTAAATGAGTTAATATGTGTAAAGTGATCTGTATAGTGCCTGATATAATACTCAAAATGAATCTTTTATTACACCAAGTTAATTTCAAAGTATTAACATATATCAACAATAATTTCAGTAAAAATGATTCTGTTTGAGTTCAATTTTGAAGCTGTTACTCTAACACCAATAACAGTGAATACTTACTGAGCACTTAGCATTAGCTAGGCACCCACATGTGGCTCCTCTCCCAATCAGTACAGATCTGGAAATAGACATTTTTCCTCCCTTCCTCCAGTCTTTGCCTAAAATTGTTGAAGCAACTCACTTCTTACACTCTTTACCCTTCATTTCCAGGCTACAGTCAAACAATCATCCTGTGTTACTTCACCTACATATTAACTGTAGGCCCCAGAAGGTGAAGCAAGTACTGTCCTCGTGCCACTTTTACCATACACACAGCATGGTGCCTGGCACACCATAGGCAATCAAGCATTGAGTGAGCGGTTAAGCAAAAATGAAAACCCTGAACAATTCCTAGCTCATGTGCTACAAGCAGCTTTAGCTAACAATGGGACGTTTTTCATTTCTATTATCTTAATTTAAAAAAAAAAGATTTGACAGCAATGAAGTAACTAGGAATGAAAGAACAAGGTCTAGGATGAGGTCCAGGAAATGAAGAACACAGGAAAAAAACAAACTCACTTCCTCCTAAATACACATCTCCTTGCCAGAGAAGGAGGATAAATTATATAGTCTGGTCCATATGCACCAATCAACTGACAGACGAGACCCTGTACAAGCCAAAGAAAACCTGAACTCAAGATTTCAAAATTTAAACAGAAGTCACTTTTAGAAATAAGGTGCACTAATTAATTTTAATGTGCAACTTTACCTTATTTTAAGCTATTGATAAAGGTTTAAATTTTCTACTTTCTCCCCTTCCTCCCTTTTTGCTTTTGGACACAGAATTTTAGACAATCTCCAACTGGCCTTGTCTGAGCATTTGTAAGTGGAATAAATTATATATGCCTGATGAGAGTAATTTTTTTTGTCAACCTGCATGTCGAGATAACTTATGACACTTCTCCCCACAATTAGAAGTATATATTTAAAGTAAGTTGTAATTTAGGTTACCAATACAAAAATAATCACACACCAAGGTAGGACACAGAACAACATCTATAGTAGCCCTATACTATTTCTTAGACATACACATACACACACCCACACACACACACAAAAGAATGCTCACGCCTAAGACAACAGCATTATGTCATATTTCAAACATACTAAAACAATACAGTTGCAAATATTTGTGAGATGTGAGTTCTGTCTTTGCAGAAACCTAATACAAACTCTAAGCTTAAAAAAAAAATCACATTGTACACCTTAAATATACAAAATTTTTACCAAAAAATCAAATTTTGCTATTTCATAAGCATACAATAAAACTCTATTACATTTCACTTAAAAACACATAATAAAACAAAAGATTAAAAATATCAATCTGAAAAGCTGTCCATATACTGTTAAATTAAAATAAGCCAGTTGTGGAATAGTTTATAGTTTATAAAAAAGAAAACATATATACTCAAAAAAATAAGGCTAAAGAAAGGTGCCAAGGGATACACACCAATCTGTTAAAATTGATTATTTCAGGAAAGTGACAGAGAAAGGGAAAAGAGGAGAAAATGATTCTATTTTTTCATACGTCTTTCTGTACAGTTTGTCTTGATACCACAAGCATGTATTTATAATTAACTTTTTAATTAGAAGAGAATTTTAAATGAAGAGAGAAAAAGCAGAAGAGAAAGAGATGTGTTCATAAACTCCAATCAGTAGTCAACCTATTTCAAGACATGTTTCTATGAATGTAATATTTTGTAAGTATAACTTGTTATTAGCATATTAAATACTCAATAAATTTAGTAAATTTCTCCTGCACCCTCCCCCAGTAAGGAAGCAGTATACTCTTCTAAATTAACTTGGCTGAAAACTGTTTTCCTACCCTTTCAGATTCTTATTAATTTTAAATACATAAACTCATGTTCAAGAAGAAAATCCTACAAAGCATTTTCACAGATGGCTTGGTTTCTCAGTGAATAGCACTCTGACATAGCATGAAATGACAACCTATTATCACTTTAATGCTAAGGTCAAAAGGATTATTTTGTATGCCTAATTTAGGTATCCCAAAGCTTTAGTCCTTATCAGACCCACACCTAGACAAACTATCATAAAGATTGAACAGGCTGATGTTATTTAAGAAAGAATTAATTTTCAATACTGAAGTGCTACTTATATAGCCTTTAAAAGTAAACAAGAAGCTAACTTCGTGCCTTGTTAAAGGTAGGTCATTTCTAACCCTTAAAATTCAATTTCTTATCAAGTGGTATTTTATCAGCACAAATATAGATCTTATAAGCAGGAAACAAGCTCACATATGGTTATGAAAGCGGCGCCATTTTACTGAAACTGCATTAACTCTAACCACAATAAGACTTCTTAATAATAGAGTCCATCAATTCCCTCATATTCATGACTCACTGTCACTAGAAAAACCAGTTTGCATTCGGTTTACTCAATGCATATTATAAAAGCATCTTCCTATATGTGGGAAGATAGTTTCAGCACAGGCAAAAGAAAAGTGAGCTGGGTAACGAAAACAGATAGGATGCTTCAGTCTGTGATTACAGAAAGAACTGAATAATGTCATTCTCTTATAAATGCCTGAAATACTTCAACTTATTTTACAGCCCCCCACAAAATCATGGCCTCAAGATTTCTCTCAACGCAAAGCCCTAAAGCACCTGAATGTTTATTAAAGGAATCCCTGGACATACTTCATTATCATCTCAGTATAATTCCAAATGCAACAAACTCAATTTAGCAATTCAGCACTTACTGAATGATTATTCCATACAAATACTGTGTAAGACACAGCAGTAATTACAATACATATCTCATCTTCAAGAGGCTTACAATCTAGTGGGAGAATAAAACACATTATGAGCCCTTCTCAACTGGGGTTATTTATATGAATGACAAATGAAAGAATGACCCAAGCACTATTTTCTCAAATCTTTCAAGGAGGATTACAACTAATACAATGTTAGATGCATATGACAGATGTTTTGGGGTGTAATGGGAAGAAAGTACCAAAAGACAAAGAGAGTATGGAAGACCACATGTCATGCTCCAACTTTGTATTCTTTGCTGTGGCTCACTGAGAGCCCACACATATTTTAAGCACATAAGTAACATAATCAAACATGTAAAATGCTATTCTGGCAATAGTACAGATGAAGGGAGAGAAATGGACGCAAGAAGGCCAACTTTGAGATTATAGAAATAATCTTAGCCTTAGGAGTAATAATGTCCTGAACTACAATAGGATCAATCAGGATGAAAAGGTGAATGAACAGGACTTGGTAAATGACAGAGCCAAGAATAGTTGTCTCCAAGGCTTTCATCCAGGATGAATAAGAATAAAGTGATACCATGAAACAATGACAGAAATATAGGACTTATGAAAAAAAAAAAACGACCAGAAAACTGCTTTTTTCTATGCCTTCGACTGTGCTAAATTTATTCTAGAATTTGTATTTGTATTGGTTACTAGGAACCATAATGAAAGACCAGATTTTAAAGTACTTATACCCCTACATCACTTCTTCAGAACAAAATACTAACACAACCAGGAAAAATTCTAAACAATTTGATGTCATAAAGAATCCCTCACCTAACTGCCAGAACCAGCTTACTAATAATGAGAACAATGTCTTACAACAGACCAGTTCATTCACAAACCATCCTTTAGCCAAAGCTTTGAGAAAAAGTCTCCCTAAGAAAAAGAATGACAAATGTTATGGCACTGTCTAAAAGCACTTAAAGAATCCAGAGGAAGAATGTTCCAAAAATCCGCAGCAAGACTGTAAGATCTTTTCCTAACTGATGTAAAGTTGAAATATGGGGACGTGAATATGGGGTGAAATACAGAAGTCACTTTAAGACTTCAAATATCTCTCTCCTACTTCTCCTACCCTTCGAAAAAGTCTTAATAGGAATTGGCAGTATCAACTCAAGCACAGATATTTTTATCTACAGCCCAATCACATGTTTATAAACCCTATTCTAAAAAGGGTCATCAACCCTATTCCAAAATGTACTTTAGAATTTTTGGAAATTTTTAATGGAAAACACATGAATATGCCCTTCTATGTATCTATGACTTCTTTACTTCTCTTTTTGTCCTATGTGAGACAATGTTTACATAAGATGATGTTATTCCTCATTTTAGTAGTCATACAAATTATTCAATATCCAAAAGGAAAATAAATTAGCCTACAGGATGATTTTGAGATGGCAGAAAAGTTTACTGAATTATATGAAACAAAAGGCATGTGCTTTATGAAAAAAGAGGCAGAACAGCGTAAGTAATAAGAACAAAGCTTTAGTGTCAAAGAGTCCTTGGGTCAGATTTTTCTATCTATAAAATGGAGATTTTACTACATAAACAACTCTGTGAGATGAAAGTAAATTAGTATTTTCCATACCTGGCTGGTCACCAGAATCGCCTGGGAAGCTTATTAAAAACATAACATCCCATGCCCCATTCCATACTTTCAGGAGTGTGGTCCCAAAATTTGTATTTTTTAACAAATTCCAAAGATGATAATCAGTCTCACAACTTGGAAATCATTGAAAAAAAATATTTTATGCTTTTTATATGTTCCCATATAATTTATATCTTTATGTATAATATAACTTAACAGTGCCCTAGTACACTGTAAAATGCTCAATAAATGCTTGATGTAATTATCATTATTTTGAAATAGAAGATAAAACTAAGCCTTTTGTTACATGATGGCCACGAAGTGGTCTTGCAGAACAGTTTGCATAAACCTCTCAGCAAAAACAAGATTTGAAGCACGAAACCATACTGCTTCAGAGACTGCAAAAGATGACAAAAGTGAAGTTCCACACTGATGACAATGCCCCTTTTCCACAACATAGTTTATGACAGAAGGAAAGCATAAAGTCAGGCCTGTCTTGTATTTTTCATACCAAAGCTTGACCACACCAGGTGACTTTATCACAAAATCTTTACATTTCTTCCTTATTTTTCAGAAATTCATACAAATTCATATAAACTCATGACAGAGCATGTAAGTACTAAATAAATGTGTACAGTAACTTTAACCATAACAAATATCTAAAACCCACAGAGATGTACGGATACTCACAGAAAATCCCTGGTTCTTATTTATGCATAACATCAATCCTTTTTAAAAGTCCAAACCCTTAAATTATTTAGTCTTTCTTAAAAAACTGACCACATACATAGGATATAAAGCCCTTTAAGAAAAGCTTTAAGCACATTTTTGTAACAATACTGTATACAGATCAGTGTTATCTATAAGATTACATTTTAAAACTCCTCCTATAAAAACCTTAACAAATTTATTTATAAATGTGGTTCCCAGCTTGTTCCTAGCATATCACAGATCTGGTAAACTGAGGAAACTATTATAATACTGAATACTCTCTCTTCTAAATTTTGATACTAAAACAAATTTTTTAAAAGTTATCACTGACAGAAGGTAAAGTGTATCCTATGGCCATTTGGAGTAAACTACATAGACTAGGTACTAAAACTTTTTATTTTAAAACACTTTTTAGAAATGATTCTTAATGAACACAAACTTAGCTACTACTGTTTAAAAGTTAAAATACTCAAGGTGTACAAAATAATGTTTACCTAATTACCGAACATGGTATTTTACCTTTGGGTTTATTTCTCTATATACACATCTTACAAGGATTATGGGAATCCATGATCTAATGCTAACAGATTGCTGCAAGCGCTGAGAAATAAATGTGTTATATAAATAAAGCTTAGAGGGAAGGAGTTGTTTTGGTCATTAAATTATAGGACTTTGCCATTTTTTTCTATCAAGTTTTAACCATTAATCCTTCTGGTATTAAAGAAGCAAAGTTACACCAAGAGATTCAGAAGGCTGAGGTAATGTGATCTTAAGAGTTAAAAGAAACACAGTAAAAACTACAATTCAGAGATGTCTCAAGCAAGTAAAACCAAAAGTTATCAGTTTTCGTAGACCTGTAGAATACTAACTACTTCCATGAAAAGTCCTTATAAATACCAGACCTGCACAAAGTGTCTACATGATAAGAGAATGTAGAAAATTTAATGAATTTAATCTGATTACTCTCCACACCTATATTTCCAGAAATATTTGGGGTGTGATGTGTGACAATCAAGAGCCTTAAAAGAAGTGTTTAGTCTTCAGTACACACTTGATATGAGGCAACCAAAAAAAATACTTGATCTACCAACAACATATGGTAAGAAAGGTTACTTTTCTGCTCCTCTTCCCTACAAAAACATCTTTATGGAGGTATCTTCCTGAAGGCTTTATGAAACCTCTCTTTTCTATACTTTTTTGGTTACTTTCCTAAGTCTATCCCCATGGATAAAATGTTTTGCCAAGTGGTCTTGAAAAAGGCACAGAAATCTAGAAATGGAGGAGGGGACAGAGGGCAAAGACAGGGTTATGATTTCACTTCTCCATCATAAATGACTTCTCAAGAAGCAAAGCAGGTTAGTGTTAGCATGAGAGTAAAACTCTCCAAAGAGGAATAGAAATGGGAATATCCCTTCATTCTACTCGACCTCAACCCTAAAGTGAGAAAAGTTAAGGACACGGTAGGTACATTAATAAGTTTGCAAAGTTAGCTAGAGTTCTCATGACAATAAACATTCAAAAATTAACTCCAAAGGAAAATAATCTGTAATAAGTTAGTGGGTTTCACCACAGTAATATTTCTCAAAAATATACAATTTAAAACACTACAAAGTACAGGACAATAACTTACTTGAGTTGGAACAAGTACAGGAGGGTAGGCCATCTTGTGATGCCTGTACACCCAAAATGCACAAATGACAATCCCCGCAATTAACATAAGTGGCACCAAGGAATAGAGCAGGATGTTGTAATAGGGTGGCTTAGGTGTAACTGGATTTGAAGTGGCTGTGGAAAAGGGGGGGAAAAATAACTCAGATTTGGTCTACAAAATTCTATAATAAATATCTGTCATAGTCTCAAATTTTGGGGAAGAGGTAGGGGCAAATTATTCCATCAACACAAATATATTTTGTTTCCAATCTACAGTTGAGCAAACCTACGTATTTTCCCTGTGAACTTACGCTGTGTGACTTCCATCTCCGGAAAATAAGAAAACTTTTCATTACACATATTGCCCTCACAGCAACAAAAATATACTTCAGGGCTGTCTTTTTTTTCTACACAATCAGTCCTATAAATAAGCAGAGAAAAAATAATTAAAATCAATATTATTATACTGACCCTACAACAAGTGTTTTTATTCTGCAATAAAATAATAAATTAGTCATTTATATTCAACTTCAAGATTCGTATTTATATCTAATAATTCTTAAAAACCAAAAATGTTCCTGGATTCCTGTTACTAAATCTCTTAAGAAAAAAAAATTAACAACTGATTTTATAACAATCACACTGACTACTAGAGACTATTGCTGTAATTTGGTTTTTAATGAGCAACCTAAGGCAAGCATCTTTTTTTATTTTTTTAATTATTAGAAAAGCTTGAAGAGGACATAAAGTCAATGAGGCAATTTGGTCAAAGAGTGCTTTTGCTCACAGGAAATATGGCATTTCCATTCTGTGAATACAAAAACTGAAAACTATATATAAAACTGTGTATGTGTGTGTATGTATACATATAAATACATACACACATGCTAAGTGATAAAAGCTCGTATCTCATGGGTGAAACATTTCAACATCAGAAACCCAAACTAGGCTGAGAAATTAATACTGTCACTGTTTTTTAGAGTGTAGATTTAAATTCCCTGAATGCAATGAACAGGGTTGAGATGAGCAGCAATAAGTAGAAAACAAACACGTAAACAATAATCACATAGCACCTACTAACTCAAACGGATTAGAATTAAACCAAAAAAATAAAAATAAAGTAGCCTTTTATATAGGACCTTAAGTCATGAAAAGACCTGGATTTAGCCTCTAGAACAAATCCTAATCAGCCACTAATAAACAGCTAAAACTATTAAAAAAAATCAACATCAGATGAACTTAAAAGATGTATCTTAATAACAAACTGAACTTTTTTGATAGTTGTCAGAATAATAAGGTAGAATTTAATTCTTAAGTGAAAAGCTGAAGAAATTTCAGGGAGATAGGAGTTTTAACAAAATCAAACTAAAATATACTCAACATCAACATCTATTTGGCAGGAGGTTTTTAAAGATAAATGAAAGCTAAATTTTAACAATTTATAAAGAGAAATATATAAATTTAAAAACATATTTAAAATCATGTCTCAAATTACAACAGATTAACATGATTACTTAGCCTAATTAATTCAATAAAGTTACTTTTCACCATTCAATTTCATTCTTCTTTTATCATTTTCTTTTCTTCCACACTTTGACAATTCTTGAATCTTCTTTTCCTCTTACTTCTCTTACTATCCTATTTGTTTTCAATCAAATTTAGAGTATAAAAACAAAATTTTATAGTTTAAAATTAGCATTTAACCTCCAGACACAAAGATGGTATAGTAATTACCATTCTAAGAGCAAGTATTTGCAATGAATAACACACTTGCAGACTCCAGTGAAAATGGCTCACTACTCTTTTTGGCACTATCCGAGTCTCACATAGCTGGAGTATTGTCTTTAGGTAAAGAGCAAAGTAGTTTTCTACTACAAAAAAGAATAGGAATCCCTGATTCCAACTAAATGATAAAAGATAGTTTGGGATAAAGATGATTCCCAAACTCATTTTTCCCCAATTTCTTCCTGTGTACCTTTCGTAACAGCACATATCACTTGACCACTTCTGTTAGCAGAGGCTGATAATCAGAAATGCAGCTAAAATATATAAGTACATAGAAATAATCCCTGGAAAATTCACATACTTAGAAGTACATTCTAAATACGAAATATATATCTAAATCTAAATGACTGTGTTGTAATTTCTCACAAAAAGTGTAGTTAATCCAATTTTCAAGGGCCTATTCAATGCATTTTGCTCTTAGTCACATACAGCTAATCAAACACAGATTCCAGGTAATCAACTGAGGCTCTCAAAAGTGATCCAGAAGTATCTAGTGTTCACTGTATACAGCAGTACTTTTTGGCTCCAAAATGTCTGTTTATCTAGGACTTCACAGCTTCTGCCTGTCTTCAGCACCTACCCACAGTAGAAATCCTGTGGCCCAGGCAGTTAAGGGATCACCCTAACAGCTATGGGACTCCATACAGAAAGATCACAGGCAGTCAATAACATGACCACTGTATTTTACTTCCAGTACAGAGTAAAGCAATTAAAACAAGTATGTAGTTTGAGGACTGTTAGTTCTGATGAAATTCTGAATGTCAAGTTAAAATGTCTCTTGGGGTAGACCAGGCATGGTGGCTCACATCTGTAATCCTAGCACTTTGGGAGGCTGAGGTAGGCGGATAACCTGAGGTCGGGAGATCGAGACCAGCTTGACCAACATGGAGAAACCCTGTATCTACTAAAAATACAAAACTAGCCAGGCATGGTGGTGCATGCCTGTAATCCCAGCTACTTGGGAGGCTGAGGCAGAAGAATTGCTTGAACCCGGGAGGCGGAGGTCGCGGTGAGCCAAGATTGCATCATTGCACTCCAGCCTGGGCAACAAGAGCGAAATCTGTCTCAAAAATAAAAAGTCTCTTCGGGTAAAGAGCGAAAGGCCTACTTTGCAAGAAAAAAAAAAGGGGCGGGGGGAGGGGGGAATGTAGTAAGATCAATTTCTTCCAGATACATAAAGAAGGAAACTGAAAGAAAATTAAACACATGATTAAGTTTTATTCTTCTTGAGGACAGATTTTCAACAGATATACTCTTTTAAAGTAATTTTTTAAATGTTTTCCTTAAAACTGGCATTTTAAAAGTTTATAATCGTAACAATATTGGGGAAAATGGTTTTTATTTCAGAGTTCTCACTACTGGGTAGATTATTCAAAATATATCAAAGATAAAACATATATATGCCATGTTTATTACTTTAAAATATACTGTCATTACAGCATGTTATAATGTTCTTTATAATCCCATTTTTTAAAAAGCAAGAAACATTTAAGTGAAAATTTATGCACTGATCTTTCCCCTTTCAAAAAGAGGGGAAGTGTGAAAATTACTCAATACTACCATAAAATCTTAAATGTGTTCTTACCTGTCATAGCAGTTGAT
The DNA here is from genome assembly GCF_000001405.40 of Homo sapiens. Taxonomy (NCBI): domain Eukaryota; kingdom Metazoa; phylum Chordata; class Mammalia; order Primates; family Hominidae; genus Homo; species Homo sapiens. The sequence goes on along the minus strand of NC_000002.12, from coordinate 147,896,491 downwards.
ATCATCCAGCCAACAACCTTGTTTCACTATTTCAATGGAACCAGAAATATTCTTCCAGGTAGCAAAACAATGCCGCCGTTTATCTTTGTCACCATAACACGGTTCAACACCAGTTTGATTGGTTCTGTCTTTTTCCCAATTAGCATTAAAGAAAAGACACTCCTGAGTTTCTGATCTACCAAGTATAGCACCTATAAGATAATAAAAACAATAATATAACCACATTATCTGTTAAAATAAAAGACTGTTTCCCAAGATAGCAACTTTAGGTATTCCTAAAGTGTCAGTAATTCACCGTCTTCCCACTTATAACTTTGGGTTTAGGTTTCCAGGTTAATCCCTGTACTTTAAATATAAAAATAGCCATTATAATAGGAAATAACCATATATATCACAGTATTTCTCTGAACACCACTAGTTTCACTTCACTTGAGAATGTCCTTGATGAAAAGCCACAGAAATTGTTAATTTTATGAAACCTTGGCCCTTGAGTAGACTACTTTTTAATATTGTGTGGGACAAAAACTAAGCAAACATAACTCTGCTGCATAGTGACTACAGTTGACCCCTAACAACTCAGGGGTAAGGATCACTGGCTTTGCACAAACAAAAATCAGTGTGTAACTTTTGACTCCCCAAAAACTTTCCCAATAGACTACTGTTAACCAGAAGCTTTACCAATAGCATCAACAGTCGATTAACACATATTTTCTATGTTATACATATTATATACTAAATTCTTACACTAAAGTAAGCTAAAGAAAAGACAATATTATTTTAAAAATAAGGAACAGAAAATACATTTACAGTACTGAACTGTATTTATCGATACTGTAAGTTTACACCTTCTGTTCACAAAATAAATCATAAATGGCAACCACAACGGCAGACCTCAATCTATGGTATGTATCAAACAATTCCACTTTTTCTTGTAATGTCAAGACTTTTCTCTTCTCAGGAGCAATTCCAGTACCAAGAGTGGCACTTTGTATGGGTCCCAAGGTGTTATTCAAGGTTCACGGCATTGCACTAAACACAATGAAAAATATGCTAGAACCACAAGAGATCACTTTTTACTGTGATATACAATTTACTGGAGAGACAAACTGCTCAAGCTGAGATGATTAGCATCATATGGTGTTGTAAGTAGATATTTGCAACACTTGAGCTCACCGCAATAGCAACAGGAGGTGGCTATGAAATTATTACAGTAGTGCACTATGTACTATAGTTAATTTTATGCAATTATAATTTAATACTGTATCTTTACATTTGTTTACATTTCTCTCAACTGCAAACTGTGCCATGTATGGTCTGTAAGTGTGTATGTAAGTTTTGATAAATTTTAACTTTTTATAATAGATGTGCGTATATTTTATGGTAGCAAATAATAAAAGACTGGTTTGTACATATATTTTATGCATTCATGACATATATCTTTTCTTAATTTTTTCAATATTTCTAGGCTAAAAAGTTCATTTGTGAGTTTTTTCAAATTGTCCCAAATCTCCAAAGCCTTTTCCAACATACTTATTGAAAAAAATCCACATATGTGTAGACTGACACAATTAAGACCCTTGTTATTCAAGGATCAACTGTACAATGGTTGCCTCAAGAAAAAGCCCACGTATGACTGAGTTGTAAACTAACAACCTATGGCTATTTAGACTTGGGTATCTGACAGGCATGTTCTCAAAAGTAAACCAAGTGAACCTGTGACTTCAAGAAAGGCAACTAACAAGTATGCGTTTCCAATGATAAAATTTAAGTTTTCAAGCAAAAAATAAAAATTTTGAAAATTTTTATCTACTACCATCAGCAATAGGTGATGGTGTCAACCTTTCCAATAGTCAAAAGAATTTTCTGATGAGATCAGTGGTGATATCAATAAATGTGACTTTTAAATATTGAATAATGAAATGTGACAGTATTTAGAAAGTCTACATAATTCAGAGAACCAATATTTTCCAAATGAATTGTGATATTACAAAAGTATTCATGGGTTAAAAAAAAATCCACTCAATGTGCATGACAAAGCAGACTTTAATGTTACAAAAGACAAAAAGTTCATCAATGGTTTCAGCTTCCCCACTGCAACTAGCATTTACAAAATTATGTCTTGTCTATTTGAAAAACAAGGAAACTGGAATACCCAAAATAATTCTGAAAAAGAAGTACAAAGGAGAATTCATACTAACTGATTTTAAGACTTACTATAAAACTTCAGCAATAAAAACAGTATGGTTATAGTGAAAAGACAGAAACATGTATCAATGGGACAGAACAGAGAACCCAGAAATAGACCCACATATAAATGGTCAACTGATGTAGAGAAAAGATGTCAAGGCAATTCAATAGAAAAACGATAGTCGTAGCAACCACAGATGCTGGAGCAATTGAATATCCATACACAAAAAGAAAAAACAAACAACTTCAACCCATATATCACGCCATATACAAAAATTAATTCTAAACATATCATAGACCTAAAATAATACCTGAAACTATTAAACTTCCAAAAGAAAACATGAAAAATCTTTGTGACCCTGAATTACGAAAGATTTCTTAGAACAACACATATGACCTACAAAAAAGACAGAACCGATAAACTGAACCTCACTAAAATGAAAACTTCTACTCTTTGAAGGCTAAGGGGATGAAAAAAGTCACAGACTGGAAGAAAATACTTGCAAAACACATTTCTAAAAAAGGACTGATGCTCAGAAAATATAACGGCCTCTTACAAGTCAATCATAGGAAAAAACACTGTCCAATTATTTAAATGGGCAAAAGATTCAAATAGGTCCTTTGCCAAAGAGCAAAGAATAAAAATTTTTTTTGAAAAAAGCTACCCAATATTATCAATCATCAGGGAAATGCAAACTAAAACTACAATGAAATACTAACACTAATTAGAATGGCTAAAACAAAACAAAAACACAAACGGACAATATCAAGTATTGCTGAAAATGTGAGCAACTAGAACTTTCACATATTGATGGTGGTAGAGCAAAATGGCCCAGTCACTTTGGAAAACAGCTTTACAGCTTCTTAAAGTTAAAACATACACCAGCCATACTACCCAGCAATCACATGTGTAGGTATCTACGTGAGATAAAAACATAAGTCCATGTAAAAATCTGTAGATGACTGTTCAGAGTGGCTTTATTGATAATCTCTGAAAACTAAAAACACTCCTATGTCCATCAATGGTGAATGGAGAAGCAAATATCCATACAATAAAAAAGGAATGAACTAGTGATACCTACAACAAAATGGATGAATCTCAAACATTATGCTAAGTGAAAGCAGACAGACTCAAAAGGCTGTCCCGTATGATTCCATTTACATAATATTCTGGAAAAGGCAGACAGAAATCAGCTCAGAGATTGCCAGAAGCTGGGAGTGAGGGAAAAGGAGGTGATTACAAAAGGGCATGAGGAAACTTTGTGGGATGAAGGAAATAGGAACACCACGCCTTGACTAGGGTGTATTATGATTGTATAATATGTATGGTTCATATATTCTAATCAAAACTTATGGAATTGCATATCTAAAAAAGCACATTTTATTCTATGTAAATAAAACTGACTTCAAAAAAAACAATAGAAAAGAAACTACCATATCTTGAGTTATGGTATGATATCAAAGAAAAACAGTCACACCAAAAAAAAAAATTATTAAAATACTATTCCTTTTTTTCTAACTATGTATCTGTGTATGACCAGATTTCCTTCATATGCTTCAATCAAAATAACATATCACAAAAACTGAACGGAGAAACAGATACAATAATCCAGTTTTCTTCTACTACAACAATCATTAAGAGACTGTAATTTTACTAATTTTTTGTTTTGGAAAATATTTTTCATAAAAACTTGTTCTTTACTAACACATAATGGATTATTATTGCTATTTTAAATAAGTTAATATTTAAACATTTTCTTTAATTTTTGATATGGTAAATATTGATATATATTACTATTTTAAAAAAGTTTTGGGGTCTTTAATTTTTAAGAGCTCTAAAGAAGTCCTGAGACTAAAAAGTTTGAGAACAGTGGTTCTACAATATACTAGCACAGAGATGTAGTTATAAGTTGCCAGTATTTGTGGGCAGTAATGGTGCCATGGACTTCCTCTCAACTGTGGAAGAAATTATAGCATGAACTGACAGTGCAAACTATGTTCTGGTAACTCCATCTCAACCGTGTATAAAAGAATGGGCCCAGCACGGTGGCTCACATCTGTAATGCCAGCACTTTGGGAAGCCGAGGCAGGCGGATCATGAGGTCAGGAGTTTGAGACCAGCCTGGCCAACATGGTGAAACCCCTTCTCTGTTAAAAATACAAAAATTAGCTGGGCATAGTGGCGCGCACCTGTAATCCCAGCTACTCAGGAGGCTAAGGCAGGAGAATCCCTTGAACCCAGGAGGTGGAGGTTGCAGTGAGCCGAGATCGTACCACTGCACGCCAGCCTGGGCAACAGAAAGAGACTCTGTCTCAAAAAAACAAAACAAAACAAAAAAAACAAAAAAAAGAAGGGCTGCTACCACCACTTATCTGTATGCAAACAATAGGCACTTTCTAAATTATTTTCAGAAACATGTTGAAAATATGAGCAAGGTAAGTTTCCTCCTTTACCAAATAATACAAAAGCAATATTCAATGCCCCCACTGTTATCTTAAAACAGGAATGGCAATTTTTTTATGTAAAGATTCAGACAGTAAATATTTCAGGCTTTACAGGCCATGTGGTCTGTCACAACTACTTAACTCTGCCCTTGTAGCATAAAAGCATCCATAGACAATACATGAATGAACATGATTATGTTGCATTAAAACTTTATTTATGGACACTGAAAATTGGATTTCATGTAGTTTTTACAACTCACAAAATATTATTCTTTTTTTGGATTTTTTTGGTAGTTTTTACAACTCACAAAATACTATTCTTTTTTTGGATTTTTTTTTTTTTGCTACCATCTAAAAATATAAAAATCATTCTTAGCTCCAAGATGGATTTGGCCCATAGGTTGTGCGGTCTGCCACCTCCTAGCTTAAAACAACATCCTAATCCCAATAGTCCGTCTAACCTACCTTTTGTTTATTTTGTTGGGAAAGGGGGCTCTGTGAATTATCACCTATTTAATTCATGTTAAAAACCACTATGCAACTATTTCCAATTTCCAAAAGAAGAATCCCACTCAGGCATAGGAACACCCCAAAAACTAAACAAAACTGACAAAAAAATTGAACACTGCCTAGAGCAAAAGTGCCAAATAGGTTTTACCTTCGGAGTCAATTCCAATCAGCGTTAGTAATGGCTGCCTAGGGCACTATACCAAGAAAGATTTTGAGGATATTTTTAGAGAGGATTTCATAGTATTGGAAGGGAAGGGGAGCAGCATTAGTGTCTTGTATTTGCCATCCTAGTCTAGAAAAAAGATAAACAAAGGGCCATTTTATTTATTAAAAAGATATTTCCACCATTTTTTAAGGTAGATAGGATTAAGGATGGTTTTCTAGATCTAAACTAGAGTGGTATTTTTCATAAGTAGAAAGAAAATGGCTTACGGGGAATGCTGTGACAATTTTCCCACCCCTCCTCAAGCTGATTCTGCAATCAGTCTCTATCCCATCAAGTCTCTAAAAAAACTCAATATAGTAACATCATGATTATAAAAATAAGTAAATTATATGTATTTTTATATTCTTAAGCTTACATTACAACTTTAAAGGTGTAGTTCTAAAAAGGATGGCATGGTTATTTATGTATATTAAGTTTTAACGACATCTCCCAATTTAAAATTTTCTGAAACTTTAAATCTCTACCCATAGGTTTATTCTATCAAAGTAACTCTAAATAGTTACTACTGACATTTTCAAAAGAAATAAATAAGTATAAAAGGTTTGCGTGCAGGGTTTAGTACAGCAGTTCTTAACCAATGATGTGCATCAGAATCCCCTCTATATTTTCTCACATTCATATGTCTGAGTGCCATTATGTAGGTCCTGGGAATGGGGAGCTGAAAAGTTTATTTTGAGAATATATATAAATATACACATACATACACTATATATATACATGCTACTATATATAAAGAGTACATGTATGTGTGTATACACACACACACACACACACACACACACTATACTAATGGTGCCATGGACTTCCTCTCAACTACGGAAGAAAAAATAGCATGAACTGACATACTGCAAACTCCTCTGGTAATCTGTCTCACCTGTATTCTATAGAAGAAGGGCTGCTACTTCTAATGTATACAGAATATAGTATATGCACATGTGTGGGGTTTGTTGTTGTTTTTGTTTTTCTGCAAAGACCCACTGGTAATCTAATGTTCCTCCCTATGTAAAACCCACTGGCTTAATAGAGTTGGCCTGAATCTGGAATCTGTTTCACAAACTGTGACCTTGGACAAGGTACCAAACCCCTCACTACCTTGTTTCCGCATCTGTAAAATCAAGCAGATTGATTCAATTTCCAAATTCTTTTCCAGAACCATAATTCACACTCAGTTTACAGTAAATCAGTAAGTCTAATCACATAATCTAGTATGAGTTAATTTATATAATAGTTCTATATTCAAAGTACTGCTTATGGTTTACTGACTAGTACTGACTGCTTCATTCTTCCTACCATTAAAAAAAAAATAGCAATACACAGAATCTGAAATTTGGTAAAATGTTTTACCATAACTCTGCAAAAGTCTACTTCTTTTTTTTTGAGACGGAGTCTCACTCTGTCGCCCAGGCTGGAGTGCAATGGTGCGATCTCGGCTCACTGCAACCTCCGCCTCCTGGGTCCATGCCATTCTCCTGCCTCAGCCTCCCAAGTAGCTGGGACTACAGGCGGCAGCCACCAAGCTTGGCTAATTTTTTTTTGTATTTTTAGTGGAAACAGGGTTTCACCGTGTTAGACAGGATGGTCTCAATCTCCTGACCTTGTGATCTGCCCGCCTCAGCCTCCCAAAGTGCTGGGATTACAGGCGTGAGCCACTGCGCCCGGCCAAAAGTCTACTTCTATGAGAAAATTTTCACCTCAAGCAACTGTATCTGAGGACAATTCAAGTTTTGTTTTTTAAAAACATGATTAATATATCAACACCAATTTTATACAACCTCTTCCAGAAACAAAAGAGACTTCCCAACTCATTTTATGAGACCAGTATCATCTCGATATCAAAAACAAAGCCCAAAAAGAAAAACACAGACCGGTATCTCTCATTAACTTAGGTGCAAAAGTCCTCAACAAAATTTTAGCAAAGAGAATCCAACAATATATTTTTTAAAAGTATTACATCACAGCAAAGTGGGATCTGCTCCAGACATACATGGCTGTCTCAAGATTCAAAAATCAATCACACAATCTAACAAATCAACAGACTAAAAGTGAAAAATCATATGGTCATATCGGTGGTTGCAGAAAAAGCATTAGATAAAATTGAATATTATTCACAATAAAAAAAAAACTATCAGTACACTAGGAATAGAAGGGAACTTACTCAATGTCATAAAAAGCACCTACCAAAAAACCTACAGTTGATGTCATACTTAACAGTGAAACAACAAATGTTTTTGCTGAGCTCAGAAACAAGTCAACAATTTCACTCTCAACACTCTAACACAGTACTGAAACACAGTACTGAAAGTTGTAACTACTGCAATAAGGCAAGGAAAAGAACTTAAGGGCATACTGTCTAGAAAGGAAGAAATAAAACTCCCTCTATTTGCAGATGACATGCTGGTATACGGAGGAATTCCGAAGGAATCTTTAAAAAAAAAAAAAAAAGAAGCAGCAGCAGCAGCCCCCGAACTAATAAGCGAATTAAGTAAGGTCACAGGATAGATGAACGAAACACAAAAATCAATTGCATTTCTATTTGGTGACAATGAACAAGTGAAACTAAAATTAAAAATGCAACACCAGTTACGGTTGCTCTGAAGAAAAATAAAACACTTAGGTATAATTTAACAAAACATGTATAGGATCCCTATGATTAAAATTTTAAAATGCTGATGAAAGAAATCAAATAAAACCTAAACATTTGGAAAGACAAACTGTTCATGGATTGGAAGATTGAACATAAAGATGTCAATTCTCCCTAAATTGATGGATAGGTGTAATGCAATTCATATCAAAATCTCAGCAAGTTTCACTGTAAACAAGTATATTCTAAACTTTTTTGAAAAATAATAATAAAGTGGGAGAAATCACCACCCGCTTTCCTGACGTTAAGGCTTAAAATGTAACTGCAATAATAAAGACAGCAAGGTACTGACAGAGGGACAGAAACATACATCAGTGAAAAAGATATAGGACCCAGAAAGAGATCTACATACAAACACGTCTAATTCGTTTTTGACAAATAAGCAAAGGCAATTCAATGGAAAAGGAATAGCTTTTCCAACAAATGGAGCTGGAGCAATCAGACATGGTTCAGGCAAATACATTTTGAATGTCCTCACTCTATTATCCCAGTAGTTCCAGAAAGCCCAGCTCTTGTAGAAAGCCTCCCAGAAAAACCTCTCATATGGTGACAATTTCCAAGTTTTCTCAAGGTATGCATAATAAAATCTTAAAAATCTTTTAATCAGGACTCCTCCTTCTCCCAAAGTGCACACTTCTTGCAATCCAATGTAATTGTTTTATATTTACTCACTGATTTTTAAATCAGTTGTCTATATACGTTCTTCTACATGTCAGAATTCCATTGGGGTTAGATTTTAAGTGTTCTCACCATAAAAAATAAGTACTGCATATGTGAGGTAATAGATATGTTAATTTGTTTGATTTAGCCATCCCACAACATATACATATTTCAAACCATGTTGATAATAAATATATGCAATTATTTGTCAATTAAAAAATTAATTTTTATAAAAATAATGATAGATACCTGATTTAAGGACCAGAGAAGATATATGAGTTAGAATGGCCTAAACTGACACGTCTTTATTTAGAAAGAAGATAGAAGGTGGTGATAGAATGGAATGTCCTTCACCAGACTGTCAGCTTCTTGCAAGCAAATAGTGTAATATTTTCATGACTGAATCCCTAATATCTAGCACAATTCTTGAAACTCAGAAGGCATTCAATTAATATTTGGTAAATTGACAAATAGATGTAGTCAATCAAAAAATATCTGGATGTAGCTTAATATAAAATTAAAGAGTTCTTTTTTTCCCAAACTGTTCCATCTATTACATTCTTTAATCACATTTTCACTAGTTTCCCTTCTTTAAACTTTTTTTTTTTTTTGAGACAAGATCTCGCTCTATAGCCTAGGCTGGAATGCAGTGGTGCAATCATAGCTTACTGTAGACTTGAGCTCCTGGGCTCAAGCGATCCTCCTGCCTCAGCCTCCTAAGTAACTAGGACAACAGGTATGTGCCACCACATACTGCTAGTTATTTTTATTTTTTGTATAGATAAGGTCTTGCTATTTTGCCCAGACCGGTCTTGAACTCCTGGCCTCAAGAGATCCTCCTGCCTCTGACTCCCAAAGTGCTGGGATTACAGGTGTGAGCCAAGCACTCAGCCTTGTCTTCTTGTACAGTACAGTTATAGTTGCTTAGAATGTGTCATTCTCAATATGATGAAATACCTAACAATTTTATCATTGGCATTAAGGAGTTTTTGGGGTCTGCAGCTTTGAATTAAATCAATGTAAAACAAACGTCCCAAAAAAAAAAAAAAAAGATGCCACTAGGGTCTAAGACTATCCATCTTACTTGAGTTCTTAACACAAACAGTACTTAATGAATGATAAAATGCAAAAACAAATTATAACTGAATAAAAACTCAACTACTACTGATTTCCCTCTACTCTTTGAAACAGGTGGATGAAATGTAAATCTTTTACAATTATCAATTTCACTACACTTTTTTCTGATTAAGATGACAATATCTTTCATAGTCCTGTGACTAGCTTACCTATCACAATTCTCCTATGTATGCAACCAATGTTAAGCAGAAAAATAAGAACTGTTTCGGGAACTTACAAATTTGAGGAATTTCTGGAAAAACATTCTAATGCTGTCTGAAATCATCAAAAAGTCATTGAGAAACAGTATAAAGAGGTATGAAACAATCTCTTTCCTAAACTTGTGCCTACCACAGGCAACTTAGTCCTCTGGGAAGAGTTAATGAAGTTTCAAATGTAATAAATCCAACTTAAAAAGCAATTCTTGTTTCCCTTTCACGTGTCATTGCTCCTGCCACTCTGGGGACAAACCACAAGTCCAAAGAATCAGCTATAGAAGATGGATTAAATTGAATGATGGTTTTAATCCAAAACATCTTACAGTATAGTTTTTTTTAAGTATCAAGAATACTATACAAAAGAATGATTTTAGGTACTTGGAAAATTCTGGTATAGTACAATCTTTCATGGCATCAATCAGTAAATGTATACAAAATTTTATTAGTTCAGTAGGTATTATTTAACAGTCTCTGACTATGCTTAATAATCATCCTACTGCCCAGAAACTTGCAAGCTACCATAAATAAATGAGTACCAGGCAAATCTCAACACAAAGGATTTCCCAATTTTCCCCAATAAAAAGTTCTTTTTTTAAATTTTTACCAATTTGAAATATACAAACCTTTCCATGTACATCATACAGTCCAATATATACTTTTATTAATTTAGTCTTATGAATGTTTTAAAATCACAAAGCACATAAATTTTACAAAATAACTTTATTCAAACTTTACCTACATCTTCACCAAGTATCATCTCGTTACTTTCTTTTTGAGTGACCTGTAAGTATCATGAAGTGAATAATCTTTACTTCCATTTAAGTTGTTCTGAGAAACAATACTTTTAGAAGTCATAATACCATCATTGAAAATGTTTTTCCAAGCCACAAATATCCATTCACATGATTCTAAGATGGTTGGTTTTTTAATTGTGCTACAGGTACATACTATGATCTTCACAATGTAACTGCTTACATATCTCTTTTAAAAGTGATTGTAAAGGCTTTTTTCACAACAACTTATAAGAGTATAACTCCCTGCCCACAAATAATTTCTAATTTGTTTAAACTTTTTACTATACCCTTTTATCTATTCCCTCAGGAAACCTCTACAGACTTTTAAAACAAGTACTGACTGACATCATTTCAAGCTCTTCTATATTCTCCAAATACTATACTTCTATTCAAAATAAAATAATTGAGAGAGAGCTCAAAATATGAAAAACTTTTTAAGGACTCAAATATAAGATGACTTTTTTTTAGAAATTTTTTTTTAGAGAAAACTTTGCTTAATACTGGACATATGCAGATGAAGTATCATCAGTGCCTAGCACAGTATAGGAATTCAGTTACATTTGCACTAAATCAACAATTCACAAGGCCTAGAATAGTAAGAAAAAAGAGGGCTTTGCAGAGAAAATGAAACTAAAGCAGGGCTATTAAGGAGACACAGAACTGTAAGTTAAACAGAGGTTGGGAAGATGAAGACCAAATAAACAGGGTTGTGAATAACCAGAGTGTTTGACAAGACTGCCCTCATTGGACTACAGCATTCTATATTCTGTAGTATTGGGTATAGCCAGGAGAGGTTTGGAAGTCATCAAAAGAATAGAGGTAGTATTTTAAAGATTAATCAGAAAACAATGAGTAAACTGTTGGAACAGAACAAAACTCAGGACACTATATTAACTACCCAATAAAAACAAGGGGTATACAATATCTATGCTGAAAGGCCACAGGTATCAAATGCATTGTCAAATTAGAATACAGAGATGAAGCTTTTGCCTTCCACAGTCCCTTATTTGTTTTCCCTAAGCATAAGAAACTAAAAGATAAAAATGATTTGGTTTATTGGGTTGGGTAGTTAGCTGTTTCTAAATGTTTTATCTTATAAACTTCTGAGAAAACAAAGCTTGCTTCTATACATAATTATCCTATGCTTCACTTCACTGCTAATTATCTTCCTAATATTTTAGTCTTACTGTCATGAAAGATACACTGTATATTGCCCAGAATAAGTTAGGCATCTTCAAAAATACCTAACACACAACAGAAAATTCTTTTTGCCTACAGCCACAAAATGTGTAGAGTATCTACAAATGCCCGGGTTTTAAGATTAAAATAGTTCCATGCAGTTCTCTGGCCCTAACTCATAAGATGAATTACATCAAAACAGGTACAAGTAAATACAAGTTTTAACTAGGCTGTGCAAAACAGATTTCTAACATTAGATGTTCTTCTTTGCGGGGAGAAGGGATAATGGTGACTGCAGCTAGAGGCCAATACTTGCAACAGAATTTATAGGCTAGTTTTTTAAATGCACAAAAAAACAAAATCGGGCATAAATTTAGAAGAATAAGAGATAAAAGGTAAATTCTCAAAATCAGAACAGAGCTTCTAAAAAAATTAAGGAAACAAACATGCACACAATAGTTCCTACTAGTTCCTGCAAAAACCAACCTAAAAGTGTCAATTACACTGAAAAGACACTACCTACATTAAGGGTTTGTTTAGTGCTTTATTTTACTTAGGAAGATGCAGGCCCTCTTTTTAATAAAACATCAATCTGTCACAGAAAGAGTAAAAATGGATCACTTCTGCTTGCTATGAAGATAATGTGAAATCATCTTTGAGGAACCAGCAATGTTAAGAGTGAGAAATTTGAAAAACAAAAATAAAACAAAGCACAAAAACCTCATCACAAACATTTCCATCAAAGCAATATTTGGTCATTTAAAACCAGCTAATGAAGAAAATTAACAATATATATTAGAGTAGCTTTAAATACAGTAGAAGATGGTAAGCTGATAATTCATAATGACCTTAAATAACAATGGATATAGAATCACTTAACAGGCCATAATCACCAACAGTTTTTTTCATAACTATGTTGCTTCAACTTTTAAGAAGCAAGATTATGAGTATTAAAAAAAAATCTCAATGTCTTGTTTATTACTTTTGTGTATTATGTAGTTTCTTTCCTACTTGAAAACTCATTTTGCCAGGCACAGTGGCTCATGCCTGTAATCCCAGCACTTTGGGAAGCCAAGGCGGGCAGATAACCTGAGGTCAGGAGTTTTAGACCAGCCTGGCCAACATGGCAAAACGCTGTCTCTACCAAAAATACAAAAATTAGCTGGGTGTGGTAGCGTGCGCCTATAATCCCAGCTACTCGGGAGGCTGAGGTAGAAGAATTGCTTGAACCTGAGAGATGGAGGTTGTGGTGAGCTGAGATCGTGCCATTGCACTCCAGCCTGGGCAACAAGAGCAAAACTCCGTCTCAAAAAACAAAAACAAAAACAAAAACAAAAAAACTCATTTTACTACACATTGAGTCTTTTGATATCTTTTCTTTTCTATATTGATACACATCCTAGAGGCAGTCACCTTTCCTATTTGGCTGCCCTGGGTTGCTTTTAAGCATTATGAAAGGTAACACTGTTCAAAAGTTATCATAAAGTCCACACTGTCCCAAAAGACTTTTGATAGACAAGTTAGATATATGAAGAAAGAGAATAAATTTTCAAATAAAATTTCTGCATTGGCCATACAACATTTTAGGCCCTGTCAATCTAATTTTTTTTTTTTAAACTAAGCCCCTTCCCACCACCAAACAATCACTTCTAAAGGAAAACACAAACATTGTCTGGCTTTCTTCCCAGAAATTTTTTTTCCTCTTGTCTGTAATACCCCATACTTAGTACTTACTATCAGTCTGACAAAACATTACAAGATTCCATCCATCTAACTAAAGTAATATATTTCTATTACTAAACTAAAAGCACAACTAGCACAGAATAAACTAAAAATATAAACATTATATGTTGTGGCACTAGACAATGTGCATGTGGCATGTGTAAGGAGAGTAAAAATACTTGGAAGTCAACATTTAACCACTAGTTACTTAGGGACTTCTTTTTGTTGCTGTTTTCCTTTGAGACAGAGTCTCACTCTGTTGTTCAGGCTGGAGTGCAGTGGCCCAATCTTAGCGGCTCACTACAACCTCTGCCTCCCAGGTTCAAGCGATTCTCCTGCCTCAAACTCCCAAGTGGCTGGAATTACAGGCGCACGCCACCACACCCAGCTAATTTTTGTATTTTTGGTAGAGACAGGGTTTCGCCATGATGGCCAGGCTGGTCTCGAACTCCTGACCTCAAGTGATCCGCCCCACTGGGCCTCCCAAAGTGCTGGGATTACAGTCATGAGCAACTGCATCCAGCGTTATTTAAGGTCTTCTAATGTTAATTCCTGACAAATTACAAAGGCAAGCATCCAAAACGTATTTCAATATTGTTAACACTTAAATGACTAATTATCCCCACATAGATGGCTCCAAATAAATATATATCTACCTGGATACAGACCAAAATTTGAATAACTCAATCAATTTCTCAAATCTCTTTCTTAAAATGCCTCAACATAAAAGTTTTAGAGTCCCAAAGAGAGTGGCAAATTTGTAATGGTAGAATTTCCTTTTATAAAAGAGACAAGCAACCATCCTTTTAAAATAATTCTTAATAGTTTGTTTCTTAATTCACTTAAATTGTAGATCCAGTTCAACACAAACGGTACATTTTTGTATTAACAAAATTTTTAGAGGACTTAAATTTCTTAAACCTTTCTCTAAATACAGAAGATACTCTACATAGGGCTTGTTGTTACTTAGTTTAGTAATTGAATGCAGGTTAGTTAGCATCTTTTTGTCCTATCCTCTCACAAACTTAATGATAGACAAGTTAGATATATGAAAAAAGAATAAATTTTCAAATAAAATTTCTATATTGGCAATGCAACATTTTAGGCCCTGTCAATCTAATATAAAAAAAACCACACACACACACACACATACACACACACACACACACACACACACACACACACACACACTAAGCAGCTTCTTGAGAGGAGAAAAAAAAAGATGCTAACTAACCTGCATTCAATTACTAAATAACTAGACATCCATTATAATGTTTTCTCCAAAAAGACCTAAAGGAAAGAAAAAAAAAATTCAAGTCACAGATACAGACACACTGATGTACAGGCAGAAAAATTACAATATGAAGGCATCAGAACCAAGAATCATTTCATCTTTAAAGGTAACTGTTCTAACACTCTTAAGAAATGACTTGACATCTTTTTGGGAAGAAATATACTTCAAATTGTTATTATTTGGTTGGTAGCCCAGAATAAAGACACTGATTTTAAAATCAACTATCAAAAAACTTCACTTCCCTAAATACAAAAAGTATATATAGAACAACAGGAACCAGGAAAAGAGCAAATCACAAAACTTCGGATTTATCATTCAACTGAATAACACCTGGGACCACATTTAGGACTGCTTTGCTAGGACAGGCCAAGAAAGCCTGAAAATGTTCCAGATCTCAACTTCCCTGTGCCTTTTTAATAATTAAAAATGGGGTAGGGGAAATGGTTTTAAGAAAAGACCTGCTTTCTTCTCATTTTAACCAATATAAGTAAGCTTCTCATAACATTATAAAAGGGATAGATTTCCATTAAACAAAGAGGGAAAAATAGGAGCCCAGTGTTTTCCCCTTCAGAATGAGAAAATTTTACCCTTTCTAGCCCTTCCACCCCTGGGCAGGACACTTTGAAATCTATTCTGGTGACATGCTACAAGAAATCTTAGAGGACACTAGGTCTTTCACACAGGTACAGCATCTTCTGCATTCAACAAATATCTAATGCTGTCATACTAGTTGCAGGCACTTTGACAACCTAGGTATTAAGCAGAAATAGTAAAAAAGTAATTCCAAAGTTTGAGAAATAGCTAACTTCTTGAAAGGAAGAGAAAAATGAGAAGCTCAATTTTCAAAAGACACAACAAGTAGAAAGTAAAAGAACTCACAAATCTTTCAATAATTCTGAAACTCAACTAAGGCCTATTCTAATTTATCCTGCAAGGTAAGACAGAAGGAAGGAATGATAGACAAGTAACTAGAAGATCATAAAGACAGAGGATTTCAAGTATACATCTTTATCAAGGTACTTTATTATTTTTAAAATCATGTTAATACCTCTGGAAAGAGTAGATTTTTGTCTTAAAACTGACTTTAGAAAATAAAAAGATTAATAAAGAAATATAAAAAAATGATTGAAGTATCCTGAGTTGGCATTAAAAAATGTCACTGGGGCCAGGCACAGTGGCTCATGCCTGTAATCCCAATACTTTGGAAGGCAGAGGTGTGAGAATTACACCCAGGAGTTCAACACCAGCCTAAGCAACATAGCAAGAACCTACTATAAAAAATTTTTTTTAAAATAAAAAATGCTTACTAGTCATCACTGCTTGATAATACAGAGCAGCAACCATAACAGCTTCTTGATGGTAGGTAGTAATGATACCTTAGAAAGTAAATAAACCCTCTATAAAGGAATTCATACTAGTCATAAAGATATCACCCATTTATACTAGCACTCTTAATCAGTAAAACAATAAAACCATGTTATCTAGCTTGTCAAATGAGAATTTATAGAGAATTGAAACAACAACAAAAAAGAACATCAGGGAAGAGGTTTAAGGCATAAGCATTAGAATTAGAAAATCTAAGTTAGATTTTTAAAGAATGTGAGTATCACTGGAAGGTTATTACTGCAAGTCACCAACATCTCTCCCTGGACTATAGCAACAGCCTCTTTAACTGGTCTCCCAGCTTCCATTTTATCCCATCTAATCAGTTCTTCATTCACAAGTCAGACAATTTACTAAAGCAAACAAAATCAAGTCACTACCCCAACTTAAAGCCATTCAATGGCTTCCCACTACCCTTGGCCTTAAAATCAAAATCTTTAACAAATCTTACAGGCCTTTCCACAGTTTGGCTCTTCTTTAGCCTCAACTCACATGAGACAAGTGGACACTCTTTGAACATCAAACTATCTCAGGCCTTGATACATTCTTTCTACCACTTTCTCCCCATCCCTAACTTCCTTTTAATAGGTGAGATAATGGAGTGGACTTAAACATTGAGAAAATGTTTGAAAAAGTTTGCTATGGTTTAAATGTTCACCCCTTCCAAAATTTATGTTGAAATTTAATTGCCAGTGTATTGAGAGGTGGGGCCTAATGGTGGCGTTTAGGTCACAGATTAATGCCATTATAAAAAGGGCTTTTAGGAGTGGGCTGTCTCTTGTCCTTCTGCCCTCTGCCCTGTGAGGACACAGTAAACAGACCCACACCAGATGCCTTTGCCTTGATCTTGGAGTCTCCAGAACTGTAAGAGAAGAAATTTCTGTTCTTTATAAGTTACCTCCTCTCAGGTATTCTGTAATAGCAACACAAAACAGAGTAAAACAAAGTTGAAAAACAGTTATCACCAGTTCACAAAATGAAATGAAAAAAAGCAAAATATCATCTCTAATTTGCAAATACTTCTTGAACCACTGAAAACAGTTTGATTGCATTTAGTAAGTTTGAAAAACATACATTTACCATATGGTCTACTCCCAAGAAACTATCATACTATTCTCTAAACTCTTAACAAATTAAAATAATCAGTTAAGCTTATATGATTTTTCTATAACCATTACCTTTTCCTCCAAAAAAAGATTTTTTTTTTTAAAGACAGGTCTCTTTCTGTCACCCAGGCTGGAGTGCAGTGGCATGGTAACAGTTCACTGCAGCCTTAACCTGCTGGGCTCAATTGATCTTCCCACCCTAGCCTCCCAAATAGCTGGGACTGCAGGTGGCTGCCACCACACCGGCTTTTTTTTGTATTTTTTTGTAGAGACAGGGTTTTGCCATGTTGCCCAGGCTAGTCTCAAACTTCTGAGCTCAAGCAATCCACCAACCTCGGCCTCCTGAAGTGCTGGAATTACAGGCATGAGCCACCATGCCCAGCCTAGGAAAGACCTTAATAACCTTTCTCTAAAAATCCCTAAGTCACTGTAACACAAAACAAGGGCAGTCTTCCCCTCAAACTCAGAGAAAAGGCAACCAAAAATTTCAGATAGACATTCTAAATCAGATAAATATCTAAATCTAGTTCATAGTTCCTGGCCTCTTTCTTAATAAAAAAAAAAAAGTAAAAGTCTTATTTGTAAAAGTCATGTCTGTCCACTTTAAAGGTAAAAATCTCAACCCAACACCTTTCAACAATCACCAAAGTTGTTTTCGATACTGGCTTACGTAAGTACTATAAAAGAAGAGTAGCAGGAATAATAAAATCAGATTCACACACATGTTTTTGTTTAATATTCCAAAGTATATTTAATTTAAATCTTTCACGTTTACAATTAAAAACATTTCCTCCAAATCCAGCTTAATTCTGTCTTGTAAACCAAAATAAAAAATTTTTCTCTGACACTTTTATAGTCTTGCTATATTAACACTGCCTAAAATCTAACAAAAAGACAGTTCTGTCCTATGTTAATTACCACAAAGAATTATTTTAATAGTAGCTCTATAGATTTTGCCCTCATAATTTAATGGAAAAAAAATCACATACTACAGGCAACAGCTTCTACTATAAGTATTCACATTTCTCTGTATAGTCGGTAATTGAGAAATACAGTTTTCGAAGAGTAAAAAAAGCAGCATGATAAATGTAAAGTTTAAAGCAAGGATCGAAGTTACAGCAGAACATAGATAAGACACAGCAACAGAACATGGACAACACAGTGTAGACTAGCCCCCTACAGAAACAGAAAGCTTTCATATAAACATCTGTAAAGCCTATTACTCACATTTAGTTTACAAATTTTATCAATTTCACTAATATAACTTTCACTTGAAAGGTCATGTTTACTTCAACAATAATCAATGACTGATAAGTTTTACTATCTATGTGAACTAATAAAATAAGAAAAATTGTTTACTAAGCAAAGAGTAAAAGCAATTTTTTGTTCAGGAAAAGTAGAACTAAAGAATAATAAACAAAGTTTAACTCCTTACTTTAAATTCAACAGTGGAAGAGTTAAATTAACAAGGTGATATATCTTTCTTTGCTTATGTTCTTCATGAATTTGTATGGCATCCTTGACCAGGGGCCATGCTAATGTTTTCTCTATTATTCCGATATTAGTATATGTGCTGCCAAAGCAAGCACCTTGCTTATGTTTTAATAAAACAAATGTCTTGAAAAAAACTTTGTGACTTTTGTCAACCTATCCTGAATGTCATTCCCCCATTTCTTTCCTCAGAGAAATGTTTACATCCATCATTTTCTTAAAAAACAAAGATCCACAGAACCATAATAATTATTGGGAACTGTTCCCAGTCTTCTATTAGTGAAACATTTAAACATAAGACAAAAAAATTCTTACTAGTGGGCCACTGAAAGATACCAAAAGATTCAAAAAAGTTCAAATAATAGGGCACTTTTCTCCATGTTAAAAGCTACTTTTGGAATACCAAAAACTAAATAAGGCCACAGCTGGCCAACTTTTACGTTCAGGTCCACCCAGAGCATAAAATCCTGCGATCAAGACGTGTAGAAGAAAGTAAAAGAATAGAGAGACACAGCAGCTTTACTAATAAGGCTACCAGTTATCCCTTTTCAAACTCAGTGGCGTATCTGTGCAATGAGGACATGGTGAAGGGACAGGAGCAACATATAGAAGACAAAATGTAGTTGAAAGGACACAAGGAACAACTGTGTCTATCAGAACTGCTCTCAATTTAAGCAACTGGCTGGCAGATGAGTCAGGGGTCACCAATTCTAATCCCTGGCCTTCCACTAAATTTTAAGACCAATTCCTAGTGGAACTCACGTATCCTCTCCTTGTTTATCACTTTCATCCACCTGCTCCAATTTCTAATGAAGAACAATTCTGCTTTTTAAAAACAAATTAAGAAGAGGAAACAACTGCAATGAAAGCGCAAGAGGAACTTACATATCTACAGGTGTTAAAAGCCCTTGTAATTCTGATGAAGTGAATGACAGTGATAGGCTGATGAGAATTATGTCCCTAGGTGCCACACAGTCCAAGATCTTAGCCTTTAATATTAGCATTTTAAAAATATAAATAAGCAATTTATGGCATATACCTCAACCTTGAGGCATATGCCTCAAGGCATAATTTTGGGGTAAATACCTAAAAGAAAAAACAGCAACACTGCTATAAAGAAAATGGGTTTTATTAAACCAAATTTAAATTTTTTGCTCACTTTTGATACATATTTTAAATTTTCTTTTAGAAGCTGTTTTATTCATTTTGTATTTATACTATACAATAAAAAAGAAAAGCAAGAAGTCATGGAAGCCAAAAAAGTGAGACAAATTACAAGAATAGAATAACAGTGAGTAGACTGTTTAAATTAGGAAGAGGAAAGAGGACCAAAAACTGAGGATTGAAGGGAATGAAGGCAATGCCAGTATCATTTAATGCTTTTAAGAGGTGAACACTAGTGCTGTAGAAGATGCTTGCAAGAGCACAGTACTCAGTATCTAATAAAGCTCAATAGTTTTTCTTAATGTAAGTACTTTTTCTTAACAGAAGTACACTGTCTATTCTATTTCTGCTTCCCTGTTTATTTTGCCACATAATCTTTCAGTTTTCTGTAATGGATGGTAATGTTTCTAGATCCCTGAAGCTAACCTAAAAGGGAAGGCTGAGAAGTATAAACTTTGAGAGGTTACATGTCCTATGATCTTCCTTTTTATAAAAATGTTTTCTGTAATACTAAACACTTGTAACCTGTGGATGGTAGGTTTGTCCCTTTATCTGACATCTGTGCTAATATCATCTTCAGTTCCTATGTGAAACATACACCAACATACATGGAGTTCTGATGTACATTTATTTGTTCATTTTCAAGCTGGAAGCATACCATTCCTAATTTATTTTATGTAGACAGCACCTACATATTTATGCCTCTGGAGGTAATAAGAAACAGAGCAATGTTTCTCACAGTGCACAACCTCCATCAAAATCATCAAAATGCTGATTTGCAGGCCTATTCCAGACTCACTGAAATTCTCTCAAAGTGTACTGTTCGTCTGGGGCTCTGCATTTTTAATAAGCAGTTTTTTTATTTCCACAGGGGAAAAAAGAGATTCTATTAGTTATGTGTAGGATTAAATAAAAATTTTTAAAGCACGAAACACTGTAATGAACACAAAGTAGTTACACTGCTCAATAAGAGAGCATATACATCTCTCTGGAAATGGAGAAAATGGGAGATTGTATTTTATCCCCATAAAGTACACTCACGGTAGGGTGGCTTTTTGTTCTGGGTTGGTTTTATCATTAATTGAGAGCAGAAGAGGTTAACTGATGGAAAAGAGTATTATGGGTAGATTACAGATAATCCTTAAACAGAACAATCTACCTTAAATGATTAATGAGTTACAGAGATTGTGAGAAAAAAATTTATAATACTGACACACTCTAAACCTCTAAATTTAAACAGATATTAATATTTCAAATTATATATCCATCTGGTTTGAACGTCTATAATCCCGCTTCGCCTCTACACAAGTAAAATAAGCAAAAAATTAAATGTGGATGAAAGAGATAAAAATAAGCTCATAATTTGGTGGACAGGAAATTTGTCATCAAAAACTACTTAATGACAACTATGAGCCACCTAGACTCACCTAGTACAGAAAAGTCACTGCCCTTTAGATGTTACAATCTACAGGAGTCTAAACTTCAAATATCTTTTAACTTAAACCTACTTTTACAAACTTAAAAATATCTTATTTCATCCCCCACAACAATCCTACGTTGTAAACAGGAATAGGTATTATTATTCCTACCCAACTCCTACTCTAGATTAACACAGTGCGTAGTAGATTCATCTTGAACCAAACCAGATCTTAGAATCATCCATTCTAGTGGTTCTCCAATTGGATGTGATATGCAACAGCTATATTTGAGTGTTGAATAAAACTTCCTTGGTTCTACTCTCAGAGACTGACTGAGCAGCCCTAACGTGCAGCTCAAGAATCTATATTTTTATCTAACAACCAAAGTGATTCTAATGCCGGAGGTCCTCACACCACAGTTTGAGAAATAATCAAGAGATTTCACCAAGCTGAACTCTGAAAACTGCTTTAAGGGGTAACAACTTAGAAGATGTGATATAAACATGTATTCCAAGAAAACACAATGGTAACTCTTTTTTTCCCCTCTGGACATCCCAAACTAAGACAAATAACAGGAAGATGTGTCATACTAGTCAAAGTTGCTACATATATAATCTCATTTAATCCATGTAATTCTATGAAGTAGGTGTTTCTGCCCATTTTATGGATGAAAAAACTGAGACCTGGATAATTGTAACTTGCAAAGAAATGCAAAGTTAAGTGGTCAAGACTGGATTAAAGTTAAGTGCATGAGCTCTTAACCACTTATATACTGTGACCAAAGTCCCTATCACTAGGTCCTATCTTATTTCACTGTCAAAGCAATAAATTCTGATATAGTATTCTGCCTAATCTTTCATTTGCTCTTAAGTCACCAAGAACTTTGTCCAGTTCTTACTTTACAAAAATCAATCATTTACCTCAGACTCTTCCTCTCTACTATATTAGCATAATTCATCCTCCATGCCACGCTGCTATCCACATTATTCCTCTGCAATCAATTTTATCTGCTGATCTCAATGGCTTCTCTTGTGTTTCATGAATAACTACTTCTCTCCTCCAGGCTACACAGACACAGCCTAGGCTAAAAAGCCCTTGGATGAAAAAGATGTTTTTCTTAAAAAGAACCAACTATTATATTTTGGCCTTGTCATAGAATATTAAGCATTGTCAAGTTCTGCCGTTTCCTATTTTCATTTTCTATTGAATCTCTGCCATTCTCATTTTCCAAATGGTTTCACCATCATCAAAGTTTCATTCCACACCAGTTTCTGTCTCTCTCCCAAAAGTATATAATTTCCTATAGAATTCCCTGCACAAGGTCTACCTTAGAGATTCATATTTGCTCCTCTTATGCTTTCCCCAATTTCCTGGCATCATCACAATTTCACAATTTCACCAAATGCTCTAGACTTTAGCTGTCCAATACAGTAGCCACTAGCCATGTATAGTTAGAGTCCTAGAAAAGTGGCTAATATGAATTGAGATGTGCCGTAAGTACAAGATACACACTGGATTTCAAAAAATTAGCACCAAAAAAACCCACATTAATCATGTTCATATTGATTATGCATTGAAATGATATTCTGAATATACTGTTGAATAAAATACATTACTAAAATTAATTTTATTTTAAAAACATTTAATGTGGCTACTAGAAAATCTGAAATTTCATTTTTTGGCTCATGTTTGCTGCTGGCATTGCATTTCTTTTGTAGCACCACTCTAGACACTCCATAGTGCTAAACTTGATTGTCCCAATGACCTCATTATAACCCATGCCATATGAGGCATTCTTAGAACACAGCCACTCTATCTGTTCAATCATTTCCTCAATGTTGTACCAACTAGTTCATCCAATTAAAAAATCTAAAATGATGTCTCATCACAAATAATGTATGTGGGCATTTCAAGGAAAACAATAAGCTAACATGAATGTCTCCAATACAAGTGTCAAACAAATAGGCACAGCTGTCAAACAAATGAACACATAAACCACCTTCTTGCCTACCCTAGAAACAGTCCTATCTTGTACTTGGAAATTACTCTCTCAAGTAATTTCTGGAACTTTTCTTACTGCTTTCTCTCCTGTGTACTTAAAATGTGCCTCCAAGAAGGTAAAGTGATGGCTACCTCTAACAAAGGAAAAAGAAAATCCTGGAAACTATAGAAAGACAAGTATAACTTCTACTTGTAAAATATCTATATGTAAAACTAAATGCATACAAAATGCTGGGAGTTAAAAGATGTGTTATTAAGAAAAAAAACATCATAATTTTCAGAAAGGATGCATTTAAACATCTACAACAAATCCTGCTCAACAAAATGACTCAGGGACCACAGACTTCTACCATGTTCATCTAGTAGCCTGTATGTCAAAGGAAGAGATCAAGCCAACACTTCGTTAATTGTATGGGCCAAGAAATACATCATTGACAACTTTCTTGAATTTGCACAAGTGGCAGTGATAAACCAGAACATCAAATAAAAAAATCACTGCAGTCTATTGCTGCCAGACTGAAAAGGGGCAAGAGAGAGAAATGTCTGTTGAAAAGTATTCTGAAAATATGAAGCACAACATAAGGTAAGCTATCAATGCTTTAAATCAATTACACAACACATTGAATGTCCATGATATTAACTTTCCATTAAGACATAATAAGCTTTTTGCATCAACGCATGGCTTACTTTTAATTGGGCTTTACATACTATGGCTAATGTGCAAAAATAATGTATGACTTTTTTTGGTAGATGCAAAAGTGGCAGGTGGAACACACTTAAGAAGTGAGCTATCAATCATTAAAATTTTGCTGTGGTAGAATAAATACGTATCAAACCATGGGCTCCATATTTTCAATGCTAACTCAAAGGAGAAAATGGAAAATACGTGATCAGGTTTGTCACTATGTTGGGTAAAAGAACTTGCATCAGAGAACAAGCAATCTTCATAAATAAAAATCTGTAATACGGTAGGCATTCAACAAATTATTTTTCTCCTACTCATGCCAAAGATCAATGAACAAATGAAATCAAGTCATAAGGAATGCAAATGGGAGAAAGAAACAAGAGAAGAGAATGAGCAGAAAAATTAACAAGATGTCGATTAAAAGAAGAGCAAGAAGATGGCAATTTAAGCAGCTCTCTAGGTGACCCCAAAGAGTAGAAGGCAAGTTTGTCTTTAAAATGAAATCTTAACAGATGGCTAACAACGAGGCTTAGTCCTCAGAATATTACACAATGAGTTTTTCAATATATATCTGCTCAATTCCATTGAAACTGAAAAGGCAGTGCAAGGCATAAGAGCAGCTATTCTACACTTTTGCTTGCTAGAACATACAGCAAACAGCATATTCTTTCTTTTTACTTTTTCTTCACAAAATATTGATATATCTGATATAAAAATGTACTTATAATTTTATACATACCTACGTAAATGCAGAGACATCTAGGCTAGATATTCTGCAAATTTTCTTATTTGAATAAAACCATGACCTAAAAGTAGATCAAATTAAATTATTTCTTGATGTCCCTTCAGGTTCTTAGAATTTAGGTATTAAAATGCAAAGAAAATTATTAGCAGGAGCTAAATGCACAATAAAGCGTATTCAACCACTAATTTAAGTAGTATTAATATATTAACTCATTGGCATTTACTCAACATTGACAAAGACAAAGGAAAAACAATTTCTTCCTAGCAAATGTATATTTAAAAAAAAAAATCAAGTCTGAGAACCAGAGGACTTTTAATAAAGCAGGGGAGGCACCTTTCCACACATGAGCTCTAGGCACAGGACAGGAGACTGAGCTTGTAACAATAACCGTATCTAAATGCTCAGTATATGCAAAACATTATGGAAACACACCAAAAGAAATAGAAGAGTCTTTTTCTGCCCTTGGGGAATCTGCAATTCATTCTGAATATCAAACATATCAAAAATTTAGAAATTTATTGAAAATAATTTATAGCTTATTGGCAAACAAAATACATGAGGAATGTGAATAAAGACTAAAAGGAATAAAAAAGATTAATTAAAAAAGGCTTCATAGAAGCAGTATATGAAAAAGATTCTAGCTATATTTGGAAAGTATAAAAAGAAGTATATAAAGAAGGAAGAGGGTACTCAGGGAAAAGAATGGCACATATGCAGAAAGCAGTCTGTACTGAGAAGTAATGAAAAAGGAAACTCATTAAAAGGGAAGAAGGAAAAATGGGGTTGTCTTCACGATATAGTCAGTGGATTAAACAGGAGAATGAAATGAGATAAATCAGGGTAAACAGTTCTTGCAACTAAAAGACTCACGACAATTATCTATGATATTCAGAGTTACTGCATACTGACTTTACAGGTTACCAAGCCTGAAGACGTAAGGGTTAATGCATAGATCTCCAATATTTAGTGCCAACTCCATACCGGGCAGCCCACAGGGTACTAGACAGGCCAAAGAATTGTACGAAATGTGACATCTGCTCTCAAGACTCAAACACTCTAACAAGAAAAATCAGAAGTGGCATGTTAAATTCAGCATTGTGGCAAGGTATACTTCACCCAAAGACTAAATCAAAAAAGGGCAGATACATAGAGTTATTTCAGATTATAAGTAGCATTTTTTATTAAATTAATAACAAAGATGATCAAGTAGAATATTAAAGAGAGGAAAAAATAGGCCAATACTTACTGTAATGTTATGCTAATCACAATGACTAACAGGCATTTACGATTATAGAAGGTTTTCTTATAGGTCAGACATTTTTCACTCTACTAATTTTTTTATTTTGCTTTAGAGAATACACCACATTAAGACCTTCTCACACACCTGACAACACCTTCACATCCCCCACATACCTCACATCCCCCCTCCTCATACGTCCTCCCATATACCCCTACACCCACCTATACCCCTTCATACAGCCCCAAACACCTTTCCAACTCTTTTACTCTGACATTCAAGGACCTACATAAATAACCTGGCAATAATTGACCCTCCCAACCCAGTTCTAAACCCTACACTGCAAACATACTGTTCTCACTGTCCCACCCCATCTTAGTTCATGCCCCTTCCCTTGCCTTCCCCGCAACTTCTCACCCCCTCAACCACAACCACTTTTCCAGCTATATAGATTTTAACTCATCTTTCAAGGTTCACTGAAGTCCCATTTCCTTCATGAAGCTTTCCAGCCTACTTTGCCTCTTGATTTTTCTTTGTCCTGGATTTCTTAGTTACTCAGCTGGTATTCATCTGGTTTCTCATGCAATTTTGCATTTAAATATAAACTATATTGTAACATTTACTGTTGATTTAAATATAGAATTCTCCCTTCAACTAGAGCATAAGCATAGGCCACAGCTTTCTGTTTTCTCCACAGCAACAAAATAAAAGGCACACTGCTTTTCAATGGCTGTTACCCTATATGTTATTCCCCTATTTAACCTAATCTTGTCTAACAGTTTCCCAAACACATTCAATCCCTGGATTTCCTTCCACAACTTGACAACACCACATTTAAACACACGCAAACACAACTGCGAGGGTCTTGCAATCATAAACTAGATTATTGGCTTAAGGGAATAAGCAAACGTCAAGGAAGAATAGTCAGTCTCCCTTATGAATGATGCAAAATCAATTTCAACACTTTTACAAATAACCTGGAAAAGCATACGTATATTAACACTTCCAGGTTTACCAATTTCAACAAGCAATTCTGAACAGCAAGTTACCAGCCAAAAGGAAACAAATGTAGAAAGTTTTCTAAGGAATATGAAAGTAGGTATCAGAATATTTTCTAATATTAAAGAAAAAAATAATGCAAGGTATATTATTAAATAATTATCTCTGAGAGAAAACAAATCTAGAACTCGTCAAGGACTGCTTTTAAAGATATGAAAGAACAGTGACAGAAAGTACTTATACCCAAAATGGGCAAACATGCTATAATCTTTAGGAAGAGAACTGAAAAAACAAAACAAAACATCTTATCTTTAGGAAGGAAACTGAAAAAAAATAAAGGCTGGGCATGGTGGCTCACGTCTGTAATCCCAGCACTTTGAGGGACCAAGACAGGAGAACTGCTTGAGCCCTGGAGGTGGAGACCAGCCTGGGCAACATGGCAAGATCCCTATTTCTACAAAAAAAATTAAAAAATTAGCCAGGTGTGGTGGCATGCCTGTGGTCCTAGCTTCTCAGGAGGCTGAGGTGACAGGATCGCTTGGGCCTGGGAGGTGGAGGCTGTAGTAAGCCATGTTCCCGTCACTGCACTCCAGCCTGGGCTACAGAAGGAGACCCTGTCTCTAAATAAATAAATAAATAAATAAATAAAATAAAATAAAATATAACAGAAACAGAAATGACTAAAACCTTGGGGGGGGCAGGGAACAGATTATCCACATCAGATACTTCCAGAAAATACAGAACCTTTCTTCAAAATTCAAGAGTTGGTGTTATTTTCTACTTTTTAACAATACACAAAGGTTGCCCACTGCTACAGGGGAAAAAAGGAAAGAAAAATCTTAAAACATGGCATCCCAGGCTCCATTTCATCTGTGCCCAACTTATTTTTCTAACGTTATCTGCCATTACATTTTCCACTTCTTCTCTCCTGTCTAAAGGGAGTTTTCAGCATTATCTATAAATATTATCATCTTGACTGCCTCAAAGCTCTTGCGTATGCTAGCCACTCTGTACAGAATCCTCTTCCCCATCAAAGGGAACTTGGTGACATCCTATCATTCTTCCAAGGTCCAGACAAATGCCACTACCTCCTTGTATTACTCTTCACATTTCAGTGAACGTGAACTGGGCGCCGATTCCACCAGCATTGAGCCACTCACGGAGAATACAGAGATGAATGAGAAAAACTTGTTAAGTTCTAACGTGAAGAGAGAGAAGTAGAGAAAATAATAATGTAGAAAGTGTAACAATCAGTAAATAAGTAAGGTGCTATGGGAACACAGAAAGAAGCACCTAACAACTTGCTAGGGAAGAGGTGAGATAGAGGTGTCCCACAGTAATTGCAGGAAGTACAAAATCAGCGGAGTGTAGAGGCACAAGGCACAAGGGTAGTAAAGATCAGAAGTCTTCTAGTGTTGTAAGATTAAAGTGGGAGGCAGTGAGTGGCAGGAAATGAAGCTGGAAAAGAATAATCTTGGGGGTACTGCGTGTATTGTTAAAAAGCTTGACTTTCACCATTTGTAAGTGACAAGAAGTAAGGGGTTTTAAGAAGTTAACTGTCAGGAGCAGATCTGTACATTTTCATAGATCCCTTAGTTTCTGTAATCTCCACGGTTTCTAGCAAAGAGTGTGGAAGGGAAGTTTTCTGTTTCCCTGGTGCATTTTTGTTTGCTTTGTTTAGTTTCTGGAGTAAGGGAGGAATAGGTCCACTTAAAGAGTCCAGATACGAGATGGTAAGGATGGAACTAACACATTGGTAATGGAAAGGAAGCAGGTATAGACTCAAGAAACACATGGAAAGTCAAACTGACAGAACTTAGTAATTGCTTGGATTTTGAAGAACATTATGAAGAACACGTTGAAGATGGCAGCCAAGTTTCTGGCTCCAAATGGTTTCAATTTTAATTTTCCCCTTTCTGTAAGCTCTCTCCTGAACTCAACTCTTAAGCACAGAAACATCTCGACTCTGGCTTTCTTCCCCACCTCTTTACATCCCTTCTTAGCCAACATTTCTTGAAAAGTAATAGACCACAGCTGAAACCACTTCCTCATCTACATTTCACTACTCATCTCCTACAACATGGATTTTGTCTCCACCACTTTACCAAAATGTCTCTTGGTAAAGTTACAAATAATCTCCTAATTGACAAATCTAGTGGTGACTTTTCAGGCTCTACCTTATTAGATCTGACATTTTTTTAATACTGTCTCCATCTAGATTTCTTACAATGAAACGATACTTGTTTTCCTTCTACCTTTCTGGACACACCTTGATCTTCTCTACAAGCTCTTCCTTAACTTCTCTCCCTGCTCTGAAAATGACAGCATTCCCCAGAGTTAGATCTTTGGTCTGTTTTCATTCCTCATTCTGCCTAGTTGATTTCATGCTGTACATCTATTGGCTGAATACTCAAATCTCTCTGCCCAGCTTAGATCTACCTCTACTACTTATTTGATATCCCTATCAGAATGGGCCACAAGTACTTTGAACTCAACTTGATAAAAACCTAATTCATCTCTTCATTCTAAAGCATTGAATGATAATAGTACTCTTCTGCTCAAAATGGCCCTTCCACAGTCCTTGGCATGAAGTTAACACTCGCTAGCAAATCCAGCCCCTCATAACCTGACCCCTACCCACCTCTGCAGACTCGTCTCCCATTACTGCTCCATCCCCCATATATGCCTTAAGATCTCAGTGTCCTGAACTAATCTCAGTTCCTGAAACACATAACAATTATTCATGTGCCTGTATAAATTGTTTCCTCTGCATTTGGCCATTCTTGGCTCCTTTAATCTCTTTCTTCTGAAAGTACGGTCCCTGAACCAAGCATGGCATCACTGGGAGCCTCTTGGAAATGCGGAACCTCAGGCCCCACTCCAGATTTAACAAATCAAAATCTACATTTTAACAATATCTCCATGCGGTTCCTATGCATATTAAAGCTGGAGAAGCACTGCTTTAATCTATCATGGTGGCTACGGCAATATACAACAGGTATCACTGAAAAGGACAAACCCAGCGCATGCCACTTTCAGAGTCTTAGTCTAAATCATTCCCTTACATACACTGCTTTGAATGAGTAGTCATGTATTTCGTTTGTTATTAACTCCCCTGTTTTCTCAGTCACTTCTAACCCTCTGGCTTTAATGCTTGATACCATTTTGTTGGCCATGACATTGGCTCCCCTGGGCCTACTCTCTAACTGTCCTCGGGCCTTGGAAAACTTGTCCATACTGAGCTGTCTCACCACCAGGGAGCAACTCACCAGGCCTGACAGAGAAAACATAAAATATTCCTCCCTCTCTATTTACCTGGTGAACTCCTAATCATCCATCCTTCAAGATCACCTCAAGTGTCCCTGTAGGAAAAATTACCTGACCCCACTCCAAAAGCTGCTTCTGCTATCCCAAGGGACTCTAACATAGATTCCATGTGCTGCATAAATGCTAGTTTACTAATCATTCTCCTCCCACTAGGCTATGAATCCCCTAGGGTAAAGATTGTGTCTTATTCATCTCTTCTCCCAGTTGTGACATATACTTAACATTTACTAGATGACTAATAAATAAGTTTGGAGCTCAGGAGGGAGATCAGAATCAGCAAGGTAACTCTGGACATCTCCTACACTTAGTCAAAAAGTGAAGATGAGATGGGATTACTTCAACAGGAAGGGTATGTAGAGCAAAATTCCATTAAGGATTAAACTCTGAGAAACAGCAACACAAAAAGGATGGGCAGAATGAATACTGAGGTAGCAAGGGGCTACAGAATTGGGAGTGTAACAGGACAAGAGAACTTTGAGAAGAAACAGGCAGACAATAGCGTCAAACTTATAGAAAAGTCAATTCATAATCAAATATAATAAGAATGCTTTAGATTAGGCTACTAAAAAATCCTTAATCTTTGAGAGAATTATGTCACTTACTTTAGGTTAACAGTTGGTTAAAGAGGGAACAAAAGGTACGGATGTGGAGCCACATACAGAGGAATCATTTGAAGAAACTGGACGGTGAGAGGAAAAAGGAAGACTTTCATATTAATTTATTCAACAGTATTTATTGAGCACTGGACACTAGGACTGTGGTAATAAACACGAGGGCCACAATCCCTATCCTCGTGGTGGTTTTATTTTAGCAGCAATAAATTCAGAAAGAAACAAGGCCAAGAACTAAGACTAGGTGGAGTAGAATCTGAAATGCATCCCTAACCTAGTGAAGTCCTAAAAGATAAGCCAAGCCTCCCAAAAAAAAAAAGTCACTTGGTGTCAGATATCATTAATTTTAGTAATCAATGTATCTCATGTTTTTATATTGCATTTTTAGTTTCAGAATGTGTATTTTTAGAGCATATGGATTATCATTCCAAAGTGACTGTTTTCTTAGACAATTAAAAACTTTACACTCTTTTTGTAAGCTCCATAGTACCTGGCACAATGAGACGAACATAGTAGGGTCCCCTTAATTGTTGGTTGATTTCAACAACTAAGTGGATTATTGTTTAATTATAATGGAAATTATAACTAAACGGATTATGGCTATATTTGGTTTTCTATAAATTCCATCCCTTAAATTCAAATCAAGTCCCTAGGAATTTTTTACTTGTCTTCACTACTCCTTTGCCACCTTTTATTCATATTCCCTAGCCTAAAAAACACAGATAAGAAATTTCCCTTTCTTCCTATTCTCTTCATATCTCAGTTTCTGCAAGCTAATTGATACTTTAAAAGTTACAATAACAGGCCAGGAACGGTGGCTCACACCTGTAATCCCAGCACTTAGGGAGGCCAAGGTAGGCGGATCACCAGGTCAGGAGTTTCAGACCAGCTTGGCCAAGATGGTGAAACCTCACCTCTAAAAAAATACAAAAAAAATTAGCGGGGCGTTGTAGAGCGCGCATGTAATCCCAGCTACTTAGGAGGCTGAGGCAGGAGAATTGCTTGAAACTGGGAGGTGGAGGTTGCAGTGAGCCGACATCGCGCCACTGCACTCCAGCCTGGGTGACACAGTTAGACTCCCTCTCAAAAAAAACAAAAAGTTATAGTAACAGAAAGTTGAGGTCCTTCAATTAGGAAAAACAAAGTATGCTACATCATTTAATCAATTTGTCTTAAAAATAATGTGAAGAGGGGAACCACAAATCCTAATGCCAGAACTATTCGTACTTATCTAGCATGTTCTTGCTCACTCACCCAACACAGGAAACAGGCACCAATGAGCAATTAATGACCACTAACATTAAATTATGTTCTAAATATGAGTCAAAAGCAACATGGATTTGTTTTCTTCTACATGAGCAAATTTCAATTAATTCAACTTCTCTGAGTCAAGGTATAATCATTTTAAGAAGATGCATTTACTTTGAACATTTGATTCTCTAATTACTCAAGTGGTGATCAGAGCAAATGAATTCTGACCTAGTTCTGATTCTGGCTCACTATATAACCAAAAGGAACAACTTCTGTTACTCAGTTTTTAAGCAGCTATGGACAATTACAGCTGACCCTCAAACAACCCTCAAACATGGGTTTGAACTGTGTGAATCCACCTGTATGCAGACTTTCTTCTACCTCTGCCATCCCTGAGATAGCAAGACTAATCTACTTCCACTTAATGAAGAGTAAAAATATTTTCCCTCCCTTATGATTTTTCTTAATAGCATTTTCTTTCCTTTAGCTTCCTTATTGTAAGAATACAATAAAACATACAAAATAGTATGTATATGTGTAACACATATAACATACAAAACATGCGTTAATCAACTGTTTATGTTATCAGTAGGGCTTCCAGTCAATAACAGGGTATTATTAGTTAACTTCTGGTGGAGTCAAAAGTTATATCTGGATTTTCAACCTCACAGGGTGTCAATACCCCTAATCCCCACGTTGTTCAAGGGTCAAGCAGTGTACTTTCATTTCAGAGGTGGAGAAAGCTCTGCTATTATCAGCCACAGGAAACATAGTAGACCATCATTCACTTCAATTTGGTAAGTCAGCAGTTTTTACCACATCATAGGTTTCAAGGGGTGCTGGCAACAGTAGTTGCTGTTAACTTGAGCAGGATAGAGAACCTTGGCAGAACAGGTTCAAAAAACATCACACAGTCCTGGAATTGGTAACTCATTATTTTAGCATAGTAGATACCAAAGAATAGATGTAAGCCTTACAGACCTAAGTTCTGCTACTTACTTAATTACATAGCCTTAGGCAAGTCACTGAGTCTCAGTTTCCTTATCTATAAAATGGGGTAACAATTACCTTGTAGGGCTAGTCAGGCACATTATCATGAAAACTTAATAGCACTTAGCAGGGAGCATGCTATAAGTGGTGGTTAATAATGACAGTTTTAACAAACGGTAATCATTAGCAATACTATTGTTATACATAATGGTTGTGCTGTGACATAACTTGCCAGTTCCAATTTTGACCCAAGTAATGTAGTAATGTGAAAATAATGTAAAATTCTGGCACATGTGTAATGAGACTGATCTAGCAATGGACTGTTAGAAAAACAATTTTTTTTTTTTTGAGACAGAGTCTCGCTCTGTCACCCAGGCTGGAGTGCAGTGGCGCAATCTCGGCTCACTGCAACATCCGTCTCATGGGTTCAAGCAATTCTCCTGCCTCAGCCTCCCCAGTAGCTGAGATTACAGGTGTGTGCTACCACACCCGGCTAATTTTCATATTTTTAGTAAAGACGGGGTTGCACCATGTTGGCCAGGCTGGTCTCAAACTCCTGACTTCAGGTGATCTGCCCGCCTCTGCCTCCCAAAGTGCTGGGATTACAGGCATGAAGCCATGGTGCCCTGCCCAGGAAAACAATTTTAAATGTTCTTAATCAAAAGCAAAAGTGATTGAGAAAAGCACATCTGCAGCAATCAATGGCAGGATTTACCTACAAATTTACTTCAGGCAACAATTAACATGTGGATTTATAGTTACAACATCAAGCTAGCCAAGCAAGACCCCTACTCCAAAAAAAAAAAAAATCTGCCCTAGAATTAGAGTTCGCTTTGGTGCTTATTATTGCTATATTGCTACTTCTGGCTCCCCAGACTCTAAACATGGGTTTCTGAAAGTGTGGTACAAAGATTATCTGCAAAGCAACCAACTCTATAAATCACTGCAAACACTAAGGATGGGAGACAGTGGAAGGGGACTCTCTAAAAGCCAGAAAGCATTTTTTGCTACTACAAAAGAACACTGAACTTGAAAATCAGGGTTTTAGTTCTAGCTCCACTGATTAGTGACTTCAGGCAAATTGCATTATCTCAGGGTTTGAGTTAAAACAAAACAGAACCTAGTTCAAACAGGCTCAAATAGGATCAACAGAAACAGACATGAAATCACTTAAAAAACTATAAAACACGGAAACTACCCAGAAATGTTAATATTCAGATGCTGAGAAAACAAAACAAGATACACTTTTAGAAATTTCAGTTATTCCCCTCACACATTCACACCACTTTATCTTTCTCTCACTTTGGAAAGAAGGTTTTCAGGTGCTCTCATTCGGGAATACAGGCTGAATATCCCTTATCCAAAATGCTTAGGATCAGAAGTGTTTTGGATTTCAGATTTTTTTTTCGGATTTCAAATATTTCAATATTTCAAAATACTGGTGGTATACCAGTTAAGCATCCCAAATCTGAAAATCTGAAATCTGAAATGCTCCAATGAGCATTTCCTTTGAGCATCATGCTGTCACACAAAATGTTCCGAATTTTGAAGAATTTCAAATTTTGGATTTTCAGATCTGGCATGCTCAACCTGTATACTACTGAATGACATGCTACTTTACACTTTTCTGAAAAGATCCTCCCCAAAATCTTTACATAAAACTATACCAATAAACTACATAATTGAAAATATTAGTATTCTTCCCTGAACACCAGATGATGTTCTAGAATTAAATCAGAGTCAAATAAATACAAATATTATAAATAAACACTACTTGCATCCTAAACAAAACAGCATGGCCATCTACAAAGGTACAGTTTCTCAATAAATATACTGGAATGTCCTCAATATTGTGAATACATTCACTACATTATAACTTGTTCGTATTCAATAAATAGTTCAGAGCTTGACACTGGTGGGTAATATCAAGCAGCATCAGCAATTAATATTTATTTAGTTATTTAGAATGCTACATGTGAGAAATCATTCAAAGCACTTTGCATCTATCAACTCATTTACACTTTATAACAACTGTGTAAAGTAGGTTACCCTTATTATCTCCATTTTCCAGACGAGGACCAGGCATCTGGCTTCAATACTCTTAACCTAAGCTGAACACACTAACTTTACACTGAAAAATCTGTAACAACTTAGGGTCAGCTGGGAGCCTGACACATTAACAAGATATTATAATACAGAATGGTAAGCAATACTGTAGGGGCAAGTGATGGGCTAAAAAATACTAAGTCTTCAGATACTACTACATAGTTAAAACTCATTCCCTATGAAACAGTAATTCCCATTGTAAAAGCAAGAATCCCAACTCGGCCTGGGGAAGATGAACACATTCTGTAAGGATCTCTCATCTTTCTGTTCAATTAACCAACCTGTCTACTATGGTTCTGTTACTTTCCTAGTGAAGAAGAGCCTTCCCATCAATCTTTTTCTTCCCAAAACCATTCCAAATTAAGGTAGAGATCAGAATCAGGGATAAATTAGTTTTTACCAGAAACTAAGAAAAAGAGATTTCTTAAAAGACATATATTATGATTTTTAAGTACTTAAAATGGGTAACTGACTCTGGACTAACCAAGTGTTGCTTAAGACAGGCTTTCCCTTAATATAACTTTAAAAAGAACTATTTTCAATTAGCGTATCAAAGCTACCAGTTTCCACAGCCAAGACTTCTGCTTGTAACACAATTAATAGCAGGCCCTGTTTTACCTACACCCACTTGTAAATTGCCACCTGGGAACAGCCAACCCATCTGGGTGGCCAGGTGGCCCTGCTACTTGGGTTTCCCTCCTCATTCCCCTTTCAGCTAAAGACATGATTATATTACCCTTCCTCACTAAACCTCATCCTCAATTCTGTGCTATTTCTAGCATGAGTTAAGAGCCCAGCTGGTGGTGAGGAATGAAGGAGCAGGGATAGTACTACAGAGGACAAAGAAGAAAATAAAGGTGAAATCCCTCCTTTCTTACATACTACGTCATCCTTTCTACTGAGTTCCTAACCATTCTCTTCACACCTTTCAGTGGCCCTGTCCTATCACTAAAGCCAATGCTTTGTCTCAAGAAATCAGTGAGCTGTGGCCAACTGGAATAATTTTTGTCCTCTAAAACACAAAGGAAGTCGTACATAGCTCCTTTTCCTACAGGAAAAACAACATGGTATAATGGAAGAAGAACATATTCTAAAATAAGGTGAGCTTCTGGTGAGCTTCTGTTTCAATCTCAGTTGTGAAGCTTTTTATCTGTATGACCCTGTTTTCTCATCTGTAAAACAGTTAACTACCTCATAAGGTAGCTGAGTACCAAAAACGTACTGTAGCAAGAAATCAAGAGACTGCCTTTACACTTTTCATGCGCCTCATATACAGTAAGGGAAAAAAACAAAAACAAACAAACAAAAAAACTCAGGATCAGTACCCCAAACCCTTGGAACACAGGCTCTCAAACTTTTCTGACCACATAGCACATTTTTCACTGTGACCCAGTACATACACACATACAATCACACACACAACTGAAGTTTCACAAAACAATACTATGCTATGGGTGATTCATTCTAATATTTTCTATTTTCTTTTTTTTTTTTTTGTCTGTGGTGACCCTCTACACTGATTTTATAAGCCTCAAATGGGCTGTAATCTGCAGTTTTAAAAGAAACTACTTTGCACTCTTCTCTCCACCTTTCTCCTCCCATGCCCTCCTCTCTAATCACACACAGAAAGCTCTTTTTAGTTTTGTTACCATTCCACCCTACAGGAGCCCCTAGAAGAGTATTTCCTAGGATGCAAACCCCAGCAGGTAGAAGAGAGATCAGGGAAGAAGGAAACTGTGAGAGTGCTGGGGAGAATATGTGCTGCTTCTGGTCCAAGAAGGAATACTAAATCTATTTTCCCTCAGAGACAGAGTTATTCTTGGGGGTAAAACAAAGTTGTATTGCTAGACTAAAACACTGGAAGTAAAACAGGATTGTGGATTAGTCTAGGAACTTAACCTACATATATAACAATAATTCTATAAGAAAATGCTCCCGAACAAAGTTTTTTAAACATATTTCTAAGGTGGGGGAGGGATGCCACCTATACAATGTCCAAGAGATTGGCAAACTACAGCCCTCAGGTCAAAATCCAGTCTGTATATAGCCCCTGAACAATGGTTTTTACATTTTTAAATGGTTGAAAAAAAATCAAAATAATAATACTCTGTGACACATGAAATTATATGAAATTCAAATTTCAGTGCCCACAAATAAAGTTTTACTGGAACACAGTGACACTAGTTTATTTACATATTGTCTGACTGCTTTTGTGTTACAGCTGGCACAGCTGAGAAACTGCAAAAGGGACTGCCTAAAATACTATCTGGCCCTTTACAAAAATGTCTGCGGACCCCCATTCTAAGTGCTCGAAAGCATTCAACATTCATTGATAAATATTTGTTAAGCATCTGTTATGTGCCAGGCATGGAAGAAACTACATTATAAGTCTGATATGGCCCTTGTCATAAATATTAATGGAAGACAAACAAGTGAAAAAAAGCTCAGAGGAATAAAAAGCAGTTGGTTTGTTGTAGGAACTACCAGAGGGCCAATACCGCAAAAGATAAGGATGGAATGGGGCCATATCATACAGAGCCTTTAAGGTCACTGTAAGGAATAAGCCCTCTAATATCTAATATTTGGTTGTTTATGGAATTAACCCCTTTATTTGCAGACAGCCTAAAGATAAATGTCGACCCATCAGGCATCACAAATTCTGAATTCGAAGTGCTGGTATAGTTCCCTTCAATCCTTCCTATTACTCTCTACTCCTTGAAAAAAATAACTGTATTAATTACAAATATTTGGCATAGCATTTCAAAGTTTTAAAGGTTGCATGTTCAGCAAAAGGTAGGAGAGAAGAAAAATAATTTAAGTTGCATGTATGGCCATAAAAGCAAACGAGAGCACGTCCTTCGCAGGGACATGGATGGAGCTGGAAGGCCATTATGCTTAGCAAACTAACACAGAACAGAAAACCAAATACCACAAGTTCTCACAAGTGAAAGCTAAATGATGGGAAGACATGGACACATAGAGGGGAACACTGGGGCCTATGGGAGGGAGGAGGGAGAGGATCAGGAAAAATAACTAATGAGTACTAGGCTTAATACCTGGGTGATAAAATAATCCATAAAACAAACCCCCATGACACAAGTTTACCTATGTAACAAACCTGCAGGTGTACTCCTGAACTTAAAATAATTTTTTTTTTAAGTCGCATGTATATATGTTTATGTGAGTATGCTTGGGCTTGTGTGTGTAGCCTCTGATCCTTACTCAAATCTTTGAGGTAGGTACTATAAAATAGAAACTAAGGTAATGAAATTTTCCCAAGTTCACATGATATTCCATACTGTGGTAGACAGGCACAACACCCAGGTTTTCTCCTGGCAGAATGTTTGCTCTTTCTACTATATCAACCCAAAGATCTGCATAATTAATTACTTTCATTGAATCTGAAGATAAAGCAAGTGTTAGGGGTTTTTTTGTTTTTTTTTTTTTTTTTTTAAAGAAAACCATTCTTGCCAACAAACGGCTACATATGTACCAACAAAATGAGCTTTTATTTCTATTAACCAGCCCTAACTGACAAATAACGTTTCAATGGTTCTATTATCTATAACAGA
Organism: Homo sapiens; assembly: GCF_000001405.40. Taxonomy (NCBI): domain Eukaryota; kingdom Metazoa; phylum Chordata; class Mammalia; order Primates; family Hominidae; genus Homo; species Homo sapiens. The sequence continues at coordinate 147,857,413 of NC_000002.12, read as the reverse complement.
GTAGGCTCCTCTACTCTTCTGTGCTCTGGCTTAGTGAGCTGATTTCCTTCCATCACAGATGCAAGGCTAGATATTAATTACAAAAATACTGTCTAATTGAGGACTGCTAAATATATGTTGCTAGACTAACTAGAAACTACAGTTCTTGATGTGGGGATATTCTAGGGATACAATAGTGAAAAATAAGATCTGCAGGTAAAAAGTCAAAACTACTCTTCAATGATTCAAAAGGAAAATAAAGTATAACCACCCTTCTTCTCTGACCCTAACCTTTTACTTTTACTCCATCCTTCAGAAGTGAGGATCAGCTTGAGTAGTTTATTCTTCCTAAGCATCATTCCGATAAAGGTAGTTACTGGAGAAAATAGTACCTGACAGTTTGTTAGGCCCTCCCAGCAGTAAAAGCTTGCTAATTTAATTTCCTCTATTATTTCTAACCCTCTCAGCTAATAAGCAATCTCTATTTACATTTTAACAAAAACTACAATTAGCAATTAATTTCCTAATTCAACACCCAAACCAAGTATATGTATCTCTAAAGAACTGAGGAGGAAAATAAGTAAAGATTACCAAGAAAGATTTGTTATATAATATAGAATTAAAAAGATGGTCAGTGGCTATTCAACCATTTTTCTGGCCATTCAGAAAGGTGTTTTATTCTACTTTGAATGCCCACTAATCAAATTGCTTTACTATTACCATATCCGTCTTGTATATGTTATCTTGCAATTATTCATTATTTATCATCGTCCTCATTTACTCATTGACTTTTCATTTCTCCTCATATAATTTTAGTAATTATTACAAGTTCATTTTGAGTCTTAGGTTATATAAAATTAATTAGCAAACTGTATTCACTAATCCTGAAGTATGAAACTCCACTACCAGGTAAAAGAAAGGCCTAGCATCCAGTTCTTCTTCTAGAACTATTTTACTTAAGGTAATAATAAATAAAATGACCTATAGTATTTATAGGGTAAAACTGAACTTTATAGAAGGTGGCTTATCAAAGATGGTTAGCTTTATCTGCTTCCAAAATGAAAAAATCCAAGTGAAACCAGATGAAAAGAGGCAGGCACCATTATATTTTTTAAATTCAGTAAAGTTTAACATCTCTTCTGGTTTTACCTGTGTGTAATAATGCAGTTTTTCCTAGGCACAGATGCTACAGCTGAACTTCTGCCATAATAAAGAGCTTATTTCCCTGTGCCAAGCACCACCTCTTTACCACCAACAGGAGAGGATTGAAATCTTTCCAGATAAAAACATTCAAGCTGAATACCTAGAGTTAGAGGCTGCAGCCCTGAGTAAAACTAATAGCCTAAAGTATTAAGTATTCATCCTTTCAGCCTTTATTGTAAGACCTTGATAACCTGAAAAGATATCAAATTTCTAAGAATTAAGATATAAAATACACTGAGTTTCTACTTCTGAATCTTCAACCATACCAACAATATAGTATATTACATCTGAAACAATAAAGAGGTGGTAAGCTTATGAAAAAAATAGACACCTGAAAAGGAGTAAAGCCAATTTCAGAGAGAAATAGGAATGCTTAAATAAGAATATATATAAATTAGCAAATGTACAAAATCTAAAGATAGAAATTTGTTACAAAAATTCAATAACCTCTAGTCTGCGTTTCATTATTTCTTTTTTCTGAGAATTTGTATTCAAAGTTCACATATGCACAAGAAGCCTATCCATTCATGTTTTTTTTTTAAGCAATGACAAGTAGGAAAAAAAATAAGATGACTAAAATAAGATACAAAAGGAAGACTGATAAGTGTAGGCAAGCTTTACAATACAATCAGAGAATGTTCAAAGCTGGAAGGGATCTAGGAGAGTCTCTCTAGCTTACACTGATGCAACAGGTTCCTAATGGTCTCACCTCTTCCCTCCTACACTCTTCCAGTATGTTTTTCAGATAGCTGCCAAAGTGATCTCAACACATAACCCAGATCTGCTCTTCCTTAAAACTCTTTGCTTCACACTGCCATTTGCATTTTATTCTAACTCCTTCCCCTGTTACATCAAAGACCTGCATGATCCTGTCCCTATCTCTCCAGTCCCATCACTGCATTCATTGCTTCAGGCAGCTAGTTAAATATTCACTGAGCTTCGCCTCTGTGCCAGAAACTGTGCCATGCATTGGAAGTATTAAGAAAAAGTCACACCCTTCCCCACCCCAGTAGAGCTTACATTCTAATATTAGAAAGGACAAATAAGAAATAGGCCAGGCGCGGTGGCTCACACCTGTAATCCCAGCACTTTGGGAGGCCAAGGAGGGCAGATCACTTGAGACAGGAGTTCGAGACCAGCCTGCCCAACATGGTTAAACCCCCTCTCTACCAAAAATACAAAAATTAGCCAGGCATGGTGGCGCATGCCTGTAGTCCCAGTTACTCAGGAGGCTGAGGCAGGAGAATCACTTGAACTGGAAGGCTGGGGTTGTGGTAAGCCAAGATTGCACCACTGCACTCCAGCCTGGCCAACAGAGCGAGACTCAGTCTCAAAAAAAAAAGAAATAGGCAGATAAAGTAAACAGATGTGATATGTGATAAGGCAAATAAAGAGTAATCCTCTCGGCACCCTGTTAGTTTCTGTCCGAGCACGTATGACAATCTGTAATTATGTTGTTCATTTGACTACTTACTTTATGACTATAAGCTTCAGAAAGGCATAATCATATCTGTCTTCATGTTTAATAATGTATCCCAAGCACTTACCATAGTGTCTAGCATGTAGTTCAATATTGATTTGTTAAGTGAATGAATACCTATTTCACCCTCTTTAATTTAGGGTGAGTAAAGTGAAATCTTAATGGCTGTCAAAGGTCAAAGAAGAGTCAGTAGGAAAGTAGGAATTTGAATGACAGACTCTTAAGTTTTAGTCCAAAATATTATACCACATTCAAAATATTGATCTCAAAGTACAGTCATTGAATAGCTTTGTGTTTTCAAAGCTTAAAGTAGCTGGTACCTAAAAAACAGACTTGAGAATCTTTCAAAACTTTACTTCTACTAAAAAGTTTTAAAACACTTAAAAAGTTTAAGAGAAGTTGTCCAAGAAAAAAAGATATTTTAAATTCCCACTAATAAATAGAGACGATTTAGTCCATTGTTTCTTTTTAATGCATGCTAAAACAGTGAGACCTTAAAGAACTCTTTGTAAGGAACCACGATATCTGAATATTCTAGATATTTATTGGCAGCTATCTGGCTCTCTATAATGATATGTTCTTTGGCTGTATCATTTAGTCAGAGTATTATTTCACATTAACTGACTGATAAGTAACCTGCAAATGTAAATATCCCCCAAGAACCAAATCTATATTTTTTAATGTTTTACATACCATATCCTTTTAAATGGGACTTAAAGATAGATTAAAAACTAATATGTAAGATCTACTCTGGACCAGCTACCATGTTATGTGGAGTTATCAATTCATTTAATACATCTTGGTTTACAAATTTTAAAAGTTAATCTCAGAGTTTTAGAAATGTGCCAAGATCTCATAACTTGTCCATGCCCCTTCCTCTTGAAATAATGCCTTGGAGCAAGCTTGATATATCACATATAGTTATGAAGATGGGAAGAACAATAAACTTTTCCTTTAAAATAAAAATTTTAAAGTTAATAATCATAACTACGAAAACTCCTCCCTCTAAGCTTTATAAATAGGCTTACTTTTATTACAATATGTAAAGACTTGATTCATTTTTAAAATCTTTTGAAAGGCAACCCCTCCCCACATGTGTAGCCAGTCCTTCTAATGTAGTAACTCTCTTCTTGCTTTACATTTATTTTCTTTAGCAATATTAGAGAATAAAGTAATTCCCAGTGTGACTACAGCCAACCAAAGAAAAAACTAGTCCAAAAGAATGGTCACTGAAAAGTTTAGGTTTCAAGCGTGAATACCATATACCAAATTCAGAAAAGCATCTAAATCTACTTCCTTAGAACAGTGTATTTTACTGTAGGGTCTCATACAGATTTCAAAGAATATAATCTGGATGACCAGTATGAGTAATTACTGAAATTTGACCATCATTTAAACATAAACAACATATTGAGCCACTAATGTTTAGAATTCTTTAACTAGACTTCACAATGAAGACATATCCATCATACAGTGTCTGCCTCTTTAAGAGAATATTACGTTATCATGTTTTATTATGTACTCTTATTTTTCCAAATACATGTCTTTATTTCTATTCATGCTTATCATCTAAAACTATATCTATCTGTAAACTTTTTTAGTTATGAAGGCACTTTCAATTTTCCTCTGGCTCATTACTTCCTTACCAATTTTATTTAGTAGTGCTACCATTCTACCTTAGTCTTCGAGTTGCTTTTCAGTCCTATATCCACATATGGGGTATTTGGGACATACATCAGGATATGTATCATCCACTCTTACCTCCTCAGTTTTAATTACTTTTCATTTGAATTTAAGGGTTAACCCCCTGAGATTGTCCTACTTCTTCAAGCAATTGTGAACTCTCTTCATCACACAAATCTCTTCCTCAGATTTAGTCAAAATTTCTCCATCCCACCTTGCCTTCATCCATGGTCAAGTTTACTCTCAAATGGCTATTGTGTTCCTGATGCTATTTTGTGTCTTTTCCTTCATATTAACATCCTTCCTAATCTCCGTCTAAGACTTTTTTTCCAGTACTAAGTCCAGCAAGTCTTTCCTAAATTAAAAAATCCCAACTCCCCAAAATTACAATCTAATGTTGTTTCAGCGCCTTCGTGTGTGCTTAATTTATTCGACTAGTCCAAAAGAGAGAAGACCTTAATCAGGGAAGAGCCATGTTCTCCCTTGAGACCAGTTTTCCCTATATTCTATACCTAGGCACACAGTCTCTATTGTAGATTAATTAATGACCATATTTTTCAGTGCATATATTTTTCATTGCACACATTTACATATGAAGCTTCCTTTTCCACTAAGAGAGTACTGAATACAGGAAATAAGGATTGTTGAACTAGGTCACTGGTTTTAGGGATTTACAATCCATTAGTTGGTCAATGAATCAATTAATGGGTCACGATCAATGTTTTTTAAATGAAATGTAATATAAAAATACATAAGTGTCCTGCACATAGTTAAGAGTACACAGTTCATGAAACTTTCATTTCTGATGCACACAGACATATATACATACACCCCTACTACTACATGGGAACTAAGTCATAATGCAATGTGTAATTCCTATTGTGTATTACAGTCAAAAAAGTATGAAAGCCATGGAACATGAGGATACCTAAGATCCCCTCTAAATCTATATAATTCAAATTCTAATTTTAATTATTTAAAAAAATTTAAATTTGAACATAACTTAAAGATATCAAAACAATGAGCAAAATCATCTTTTCTTAATAAAATGTCACCACTGAACTCTAACCTTAAAATTATAGAACCATAAAGCTTTCAGAGTAGGAAAAAAAATCAGGGATCATCTAATCCAAGTTCACCACTTCAATACATTAAGAGGACAACCGTGGCTCAGAGAAGTGAAATAATTTCATTTCATTCATTTAATAAACATTTGCTGAGCACCTATTGTGTACCAGGTTCCAGGAATGGGTGTGTGGATAAAGGAAAGATGTCTTCAAAGAGTAGAAACAGGAAAGTAAACATTTGCACAGTCTAAAGTGGAAACAGGCAAGTAAACATTTGCAATTATTACTGAAATCAAGGTCATTTACAAGGTGTTAGATGAACAGAAAGCAACTAACTCAATCTGGGTTGAGTGACAGAGAAAATGTTTCTAAAGAGGTGATACTTCTCAGTCTTAAAACCAAAAAGGGGTTAGCCAGGTAGAAGAGGAAGAGTAATATGTACAAAGGCACCATACTGATATACAATAAAGGATTACACATTTAAGAAACTGCAAGTCAAGTCTGTATGGATGGAATATAGTACTCAGGCTGAGGAGAAGCTGCAGCAGAATAACTAGCATTTAATATTCAAACCACTCTCTGAGGTAGGCACTATTAATATCCCCCCATTGTGTAGATGAGAAAACTGAGGCACACAAAGGTGAAGTAACTTGACCAAGGTTAAGTTATGAAACCAAGATTTAAACCAATTAGGTCTATATCCAGAGTCTATACTCTTAACCAATACCAAGAGGTTAGAAAAAATAGGCAGGAACCAAACGATGAAGGACCTTTTATGACATTCTAAGACTTTAGATTCTATGCTAAAGGTGACTCACAGTCAGTGAAAGGTTTTAAGCAAGGGTAACATATTCAGATTTATTTTTTAATAAGATCACTCCAGCAGCTATGCAGATGGACTAGAAAGAAAAGGAAGTAGTGATAGGGAACTGGTGAATCTTAGCTAGAAAAGTGCTACAATAATCAAGTAACAGAAAATGATACATAAGCTAGATACTGGCAGCACTGACACCACAGCTCAAGTCTACCAACCTCTACGACCACATTCTTGATCACTATCCATATGAAGTTTCCAATTCTTTCCCTTAGGTCCACCACTCTAACAGTTCAAAAAATCCAATCTCAGAGACAAAAACATATTTCCTTTAAGTCCCTTTATTAAAACAAAGCCTGACCTCTAGATGCACTGGGTATACAAAAGTGACTAACAAGAAATCTAGGTGGAGAATGACAGAAAGTCACTTGCTATCTACAGTAGTTTTCTTACCTTCTTGATTTCTCCTCCTCCTCCTCCTTCCTCTATACACTATTCCTGGAATTTTCATGTTCAATAGTCAATTTGAAATCAATGTTCTGTCTAGACATGACTATTTTACAATCTAACAGAATTAAATCTACCACAGAGGAAGTCTAATGTGGTCCTATCAGCAGCAATAAATATACTCTTGGTTCTAGTCAAATTTTGGCTTAAACAGAGATGATAAATGAATAATAAGATGAGCGAAACTTTTTCTGAAGCAGCAAAGAGTTAAGGAAAACCTGAATATTAAAAAAGAGAATAAGAGCAATCTAAAGTTCAAGCCATTTGATTCTAAGAGAGTAACACTATTCCCAAGAGGGTGTGCGAGGTAGTCCAGAAACCAGTAAATGAAAAAACAGTGGAAAAGACTATCTGGTCAATTCTCAAGCATTCTAAATTCAATCTGTTTTCATTAAAACTACGGGTAAGCCCTCTGGAGTCACCCATGATGCTAAGCCACAACTGGGTTCCACAAGCAAGCAGTATAAGGAAGTACAGAAGGGTCAGGGGAAGAAAAGGGAGTAGACAAAGAAGGGAGGAAAATGGAAAGGGAACAATAATGAAAGGGAATGGAAAAAACAATGAGTTACAGAGCAGTGAGCAAAAAGCTAAGGCATACCAGTGACCCCTAGTATCAAATGTTGCCAACCTTACCTATAATCTGAGACAACATGGCAACTGGCAACTTAACAGACCATGAAAACACAAATTTAAATCATTGGACTCATGAAATATCAAAGATGAGAAAATCATAGTAGCACTTTAAAAAGTCAAAATGCAACAAAATAAAGTCTTGGAATCTAAAGAAACAATTTAGAGATTACTAAAATCTCATTTGGTTTAGTTGTGCTTCTCTTAAGAACAGTGAGTCTGGTGGACCCAAAAGGCGAAAATGTCAGTATCAGAGAGAAGGGTATGGAGAGGTGTGTTACAAAGACACTGTGAGGCTCATTTGGACACCATTTGTGGGAATGACTTCAGAATTTTCCTCTCTATGGTATAATGCTCCTTAATTTGCTAAGAGTTTCACTGTAATTCTTATCTTGGTTGGCTAGGTTAACTCCCTTAAAACCAGAGTTCAAAACAAGGTAAGCATTTTATTAATTATGGTCAAGATTTAGCCTTAAAAAGGGAAACGATCTGCAATAGATCATAAAATATTACTTACTGTATCATGAATTAGTCTAACGGTAACCAAAACCCAGCTAGTGATTCTCAAGATAATTATGTAATTAAGAGATTAGGTTAAAAGTTTCTTGAAATTAAAGTTAGCTAGACAAAAGAAATATCTTTTTTAAAAAAACAGAATTTCTACCTTGAAACTATTCAGGGAACATGTAATAGTGAACATATTTCAGGCAACATGTTACACACACACACGAATACCGCCATAAGGCAGCCCAATGATGTCAGTAAAAATAAAGGCAAATATCCTTAAAGATCATATCATGGCAAAGAAAATCCTGGATCTAAAGCAAATATAATTAAACTTGATACCTTAACCAATCATTCATTATGTCCAGGAACATGCAGTCTTCATGAGCACTCTATCAAAATCGGTGATAGGAGAGTTTATCCATAAGTCATTGGAATATTTTATTATAGTATAAAATATTATACTATACTGGTGAATTCTCAAGCATTTCATCAAGGATGAAAGAATGTGCGTATCTATAGTCTGTTTCTCTAATTTAATCATATTCTAATTTAAAAGATAATGAAAAGATAAAAATCTTTCAATACAACGTTACCTGGAGATCATCAATACCATGTACTTGTAAAATTTAGATTACTAACTTTAGGGGGAAGAGAGCAGAGCCCTTTTACTAATAAACTACTGCTTTTAAAATTTAAGAGTTTAGAACTGAGTTTTTCCTTTTTTTTTAATTTGTATTTTAGGTTTGGGGGTACATGTGAAGGTCTGTTACATGGGTAAACTCGTATAATGGGGTTTGCTGTGCAGATTACTTCATTACCCAGGTATTAAGTCCAGTACCCAATAGTTATCTTTTCTGCTCATCTACCTCCTCCCACCCTCCATCCTTGAGTAGACCCCAGTGTCTGCTGTTCTGTTCTTTGTTTTCATGTTTTCTCATCATTTTGCTCCTACTTATAGGAACATGTGGTATTTGGTTTTCTTAGAACAGGGTTTTTTGACCTCTACACTACTGACATATTGAGCCAGCTAACTCTTTGTTGTGGAAGGCTGTACCATGTATTTTAGGACGATTAGAAGCATCCCTGCCCTCTACCCAACTAGATGCCAGTAGCACACCCCGTCCCCTGTTGTGACAACCAAAAATGTCTCCAAATGTCCCATGGATGGGGATCTGGGGAAGTAGGGAGGGGGACTCACCCCAGCTTGAGAACTGTTGGCTTAGATCATAAACAGGAAAAAAAAATAGAAAATGAATGGAGGGAGAATTTTGTTTCATTTTGTTTCTAGTCTCCATGTTTCAATGTATTATATTTGAATTTGACCACAGACACCATTTATAAGAGATTCTGCCTTTTAGAAAACAAAGTATTTATCATCCATCACTTGTTAATCAAAGTTCAAAAGAATCCCAAAAGATTCTCTGTAATGCTAACTCCCCCTCCAACCACACATACATTCACACATACACAGTACTGCCTAGCTGAACTGAAGAAAACATAATTACCATATTTCCATTTCCTCTTTCATCAAATACATTGACCATACTGCTCCAGCTCCCACAAAATCCAAAGGAATTCTCAACTTACTTCTATGCAACTCAAATACCACAATAGCTGCATAACTCTAGATAGGATAAATCTAAGTACTAAAGCAAGTATTAAAGTCATTCTCATACTTCAACAAACTGTGGGGAAAGACACAAATAAACCACAATGCTATAAAAAGAAAACTAAGATTTATGTTTTGAAACAGAATCTGAGAAAGTATGAGAGGAATGAAAAAATTCAAAATCAAAGGTAATCTGAAGGCACTCCAGGATAGGGGCAAAATTTAAAATGTTTCCCCTGGAATGAGAGAGAGGAGGAAATTATACACTTGGCCATATCCTACAGGAATAGTCTGCATAATCAGTCTCCAGAATACATACCATGGGATGGAAACTGAAAAATCAGAGTCCACGAAATAGTAAACATCCCTCCTAAACACCTGGAACAAAACTGTTCCTTACTATTGTTTCCCATTTTGATTTTTAAAAAAAATCAAATATCTAGAAATGAAAAACTGACAACCTGAGAATTTTTAAAATTCTCATAAAAATAGTCACCTCATGCTTCCAACATGTCAGATCACACATTTTGTAGAAAAATCAATTAGTTGGAGAAACATAATAATCCTTTTTTAGAGTGCATCTGATCCATAACAAAAGGCTTTTAAAAATCAGACATTTTAAGTACTCAAATTGTTCATGTATAAATATGGATTAAGGTCTTTATGATTATTTCAATTATCTTCAACAGAATCACATATTTTAGTTCAACTGGGAATGTTCATCTTAAAAAGCCTATGCAACAACATAATATTAGTTTAATATAAGTGGAATATCTATATGCCCTACAGCAACAAAATCACTTTATTTCAAAATTATAGCTATTAACCTCCTGGCCCACTGAAAATAATCCTGGCCCAATGAAAATAATCCCACAAGAAACTAATGCTCAATTATTTTTACTACCAAACCAAGCAGAAGAAGCTGTAAGATCTGTAGCGACAGCCTGCTTTTCAAGAAGTAATACCTTGAGACTGCTCAAGAATAACCTCCTTCATCAATTAGTGTGACTCAGGTGGGTTTGAGAGGGAATAATGTCCACAATTCCTTGGTCAGTGGCCATGATGCCCCTCCTCCTCAAGGGCAAGAGATCAGAACAAGGGATTTGAACAAGAGGAGTTCACCAGCCACAACATATAGAAGCAGAGGAAAAAAGAGTACTACTGGAAAGATAAAAACTACATGGTTAAGTCATGTCACAAAAGCAAGAGGTTTAATGTTATCAAGGCCTTCATTCATTTCAGACACACCATTGTTTAGCTTCCTTCCCAAACCGTGCACAAAAAGAACTGTCAGCCTGCCTTAAGCATGTTCCTTCTTCCATTTAAACAGACATGATTCTTTTGGTTAATCTCTGGCAATGATCGCCATTTCACAACACATTCAGCCCACCCGGAACTGATCAATACCACTACAGACATAAGACTAGACTTTATCCATTTATTAACCACAAGGAAATGTACCATTCAGCAAAATTCTATACATTACAAAAGATTATATTTAAAGGGGGGTGGGGAAGACGGACACAAACACACAAACACACACACACACACCCCACAGAGGTACACAAAGAAGACTACCACCCTTTAATTTTCCTGTGGCAAACGAGATAAAGACATGGCCATGAAACCTGTCAATTCGCCCCCGTTTCCAAGAGTCCCCCGTAATTCTATGCCACAAGCTTGTAACTGAATATTAAATTTTACAATAAATAGATCCAATGAGACTTATTTAAAATGTTTCATCTATTGAACTAACTCTCCTGTTATGTACATCTGCACACCTTTCAGCTAGATGCTGTATTTATTTATAGAATTTCAAATACAAAAGACTAGATAGTTTTTCCAACCACTGGTTGCAACCATAGAACGTCCTCACAAAATCAAAATTTCCAATATAAAATGGCCCGTTTATTCCCCCAACCTTGAGCTAAAACCTATTTTATGAGTGTACTATATTTAACAAAAACAATTTCACATGGGTTGTTCTAAACCGAAAACAATGCTTCAATACAAAGCGTTTAAAATAAGTATTCCGTAGGTAAGCAAAATCTATGCCCCAAAAGAGCACACAAATGGTGGTTGAACGCCAGCACATTACCAATACCAAGCGGCATACCTCTTCTGCACTGGGTTATAGTTAATACTCCAACAACAACTACAACTATTTTTAACACTGCTGGACGCTGAAGTTGAAGAAAACGTGAGGGGAGACCCAGATTAAATTGCTGATAGGATGTATTGTTTCCCACAGCCAAAATTAAGCAGCAACTGGCTTGATCTATGTCGTGATATTCACCGGTGAAGCACTAATTAAACGATGACAAAAAGCAACCCTTGTTTTGGAGGAGCCCACACTAAATACTCCTTTCAGATCTCAACCTTTGCATAAATTGTCACTTGTGGTATTTGCGGCTTAATTGCAACCCAACCAGCGCTGTCATCCAGTGTTATGGCCACAAAACATGACTTTCTCACTTCCACAACAACACAGCACTCACTCTTATCAGCTCGCCGACCCAACTCAAAAAGAGAAAAATGCATGGAGGTTTCCAGATCACAATCAGACCTGGGGGCGGGGGGGGGGGGCGGTGGCAGCCGAGGGGCGCAGGGAGTGGGCAACCTCCCCAGGCTCCACTGGACTCTCCGACTCAACACCAGCCGCGGCCCCCAGCAGCGGCCGCCGCGGCCGCAGGAGCAGCCCCACCGCGCCGCGCTCCCTGCACCTACCTGAAGAACAGGAGATAAGAAAGACGGCAAACGCCAACTTTGCAGCAGCTCCCATTTTCCCGAGGCGCCGGGGAATCCGGAGGAAGTTCTCGCTAGATATCCAGTTCCCTGGGTCTTCCTCGGAGACAAACCTCCTGGTGTAAAATCAACCGTCATAAAACATATTCGGAAGCCCAGACCAAAAAAAAAAAAAAAAAAAAAAAAAAACGCTCACTGGGTTAAAAAAAAAAAAGAAAAAAAAGAGCACAACGATAAAAAATAAAATGCACCACGGGGGAAAAACCGCCACACACACGCACAACACACAAAACCAAACAACGAAAAGCCAACAACAACAAAAGCGGGTTTAAATCACTGTCAAAATCACTGTCAGCTCCGCTCGCCTCTCCCGTCTCTCGGAACAAAACGCCAGGCTGAGGCGACGAAGAGGCGGCGGCGGCAGCGGCGTCCGCTGCCGCCCGGACAGTCTGGGAACTGACTGGGTCCGATGTCCGGACCGACCTTCAACCCAGACACCTAAAGTCCGAGGACCACTGGCGGCCGAGCTCGCGGCGGTGGCGGCGAGGCGGCTGCGGCGCGGGGAAGGGGCGGCGGGCGGCAGCGGCGGCGGCGGTGCAGGCGGCGGCCAAGTTCTGGTCCAGGCTCTGGCTCCAGCTCCGGGCTCCGGGCTCGGCCGCGTTTTCGGTCTCCTGGCCTCCGCCGGGCTCCGCCCCCCAAACTTCCGGTTCCGGCCCGAAGCTGGAAGCCAGGCGCAGCGGAGGAACGCTCGGCGGCAGCGGCGGCGGCGGCGGCGGCGGCAGCGGCGGCCGGGCGCAGCGCGCGTGCCGGGCCGGGAGCGCGAGGAGATTGTCGGGGAAGCGAGGCGGGAGCGGGGGAGGGGTGAGAGAGCGAGGGCGGGGCGGAGTGGAGGGCGAGGAGGCGGGGCGGACGGAGGCTCGATACCGCGAGGCCTCGGCGTCCGGCCTGCTTGGGCTAGAGATACCGCGACAAAGGGGCGCGGGCGCCTCAAAGTCCCTAAGCTGTGGCTGGGCTGTGGCCGGGCGAGTAGATGCGGGCTAGGCCGGGCACGACCCGTTTCCAAATCGCGTCCGACGGGCCTGTCTGGAGCGCCCACCCAAAGGGTCAGGAGAAGCCCAAGAGGAAGAGGACCCCGAGGTGGGGCGAGTGGCCAGGGACTTCTCCAAGGGGCGTCTGCGGCGCCCAGTCTTTCCTCTGGGGGGACGCCTCGTCCGCTCTGATACCGAGGAGTCGGTGGAAGGCGGACGTGGGAGCTGTTTCGCCGCGCCCGCCGAGCTGCCCAGGCGAGCTCGCGACGCGCGAGCTGGTGTGTGCGCCCCCAGACTTAGCACTGCGTCCCACCGCTGCAGCTTCTGCACACGCGTGCTGTCTTGGTGACTAGAAAAGAAAAAGAAAAAACTCACGGAGGAAGGGCTGTCCACCCGCTCAGGATATTCACGCCATTTATCACGATGCGCAACTTGAATCCATTCCCGCCGTTCCTTTTACACACAAAGCATTGTGTTGAAAACTGTTTTGCACGTAATAGGTGCGCAAATACTTGTTTACTGCGCTTTGAAGAAAAAAATGAGGATTTCGAACGACATATTTGATGATCAGACAAGTGATTACTTGTCAAAATTTTAGCTATTTAAGGGCCTGTTTTTACCCCTTAATCCATGTCGATTGCTTACAAGCTGGTGTGCTAGGCACGGAATGGGATCCAACAGGTAAAAATAGGATGGATCCCTACCTCAAGTAGCTTTTAGTATTTGCTGTATTCAGTTGGTTGCAGAATACAAACTAGAGACTATTGAAGGTAGTTGCTCTGTCATTTACCACACTTTAGTGAGCTTCGTGAAGGTAGAGATCTTGATTTTTTCCTTATTTTATTCCAGCACCCAGAAGTATCAACTAGCACATAAGTGCTTAATAAATAATTGTATAAATGACTAAGGGATGACTGCCTTTCTCTTAAATACAGTCTCTGTTAATGTACTCTACAAAGTTTTGGTTTTTAATAAAACAACTGTATAATATGGCTAATTCATGTTTCATTTGTGGTTTACTGATTCCCACCTTTTCCCACAAAGCCAAGTCTTCTCACTTATATTTACAGCAGTTTACTTCCTCTAAATTACTCTGTATTTCTGTCTATTAAGTTCATCCTGTAATTATCTGCCCATTTCTACAACTTATCAGGGTTATTAATAATCAACGTGGCTCTTTAAATCTCTCCAAGATTGCCAGTTCTCAAATCGTGATGCTCAGAATTTGACTGATGTTGGAACAGTTACAAAGTCCCAAGTCGGTATTAAAGGTGTCTGAATGATCTCATGTAGTTCTCCTATCTTTATGAGTTGGTCAAAGGAATATGTGTAAGCCTTCCATTTTCTGGTTGAATTAAGAGTTGTACTAACGGTTCTGGAATGGAAGAGTATATTTTACTCTAGAAACACTTGAAGTTCATTAGAGAATTTGATGTCAGTTAGGGTCAGGCCCCACTCTTGTCTTATCTGTGCATCACTTCAGTATTTCTTTAATTGTGAAGCCTGAGCAAGTGGAATAACTGGAATAGCGAGTAATACAACTGAAACTTGTAAATATATTCCTTATCTTACCAACTAAATTTGCCATTATAAGAACGAGAGCATGAAAATTATTTTTCTGTAGTACTAAAGAGAAGCAGCCAGTCTTCACGAGGACATTCCTTTCTAACAAAGACAGAAAACCCCATGGGAAAAGTATTAACAACCAGTAACGCAGCTATTCTGTTCCTAAATGTGTTCAATTACCCCTTCGTTTTTTTTTTTAATTCAAAAATAATGTAACCTAAAAAGACAAGGAATTGTGACTAATTTCCACCGGAGCTTCAAAGCTTAAAAAGAGGTAGCTACAGCTAACCCCATTGCCCTTCTTTCCTCCTTGTTTTCTAGAATCACTTTTTAAAATCCATAAATCCAACAACCACTTCCTAACACATTGCAAGGTGTAAAACCTGGTTTGGGAAGGAAAATGAGAAAGGAGAGGAAAGGAAAAGGAAACATGAATTCTAATCGACCAGAGCATCGGGCATTATGAGATAAACATCTTTAGCTAACTTCATTCACTTCCCAGCCCCAAGACCTAGCCTTATGGCCACTCCAATGCTAGAATTTGAAGTTCAGAGTCCTGCCAAGTTCAATTGAACTGAAAATTATTCCCAGGTGGAAGAATCTTGAGAAGCCAGTTCAATCTAGAGTGTTGGCTGGATGAGGAGGTAGAGGTAAATAAGTGACACAGACTGCTTCCAGAATAAAAGATTTCTTTTTGTGTTAACAAAGTCATGGCTCAAAAAGATGTGGAGAAGTTTAAATCTTCAGTTCTGAAGTAGAGCTGGAAATGAACTGGGTTATAATTGAACTTGCGTTTGGACCCACCAACAGACACTTCAGCAACACACGTCTAATCTCTTTTCCTTCATCTTCAGGAAGATGACTGAAAACCTTTGGAGTATGGAGGATGTTAAGTTCCCCTTAAATGAAGGACTTAGAAGCTTTCGTGCTGCTTTCTAGCTACTATAAAAATCTGTGTTCAGATGACATGGGCATTCTTGAAGTGGCACAAGTAACGAATTTCTTATATGCCAACGCTGTAAGGCATAATGCATGGGGAATAAATTTGGTAACTTGGTGAGTCCAAGGAAGGGAGAAATGATCGATGTATCTTTTATAAATATCCCCCTCTCCTTAAGTGCCCAAGGTGGGAAGAAAATTCTCTACATCCTAGCTTTTGCTGCTATTTATTCCTCCCCTTCTACTTAACGTCCATCTGTATAGCATTGCACTGTGCCAATGGGGTCAAAAAGACATATCGAGGAGGATAAGAATGTGGGAATGGATAAGGGGAAAAGTGTTAAGACAAAAGATTTTAGGTGAAGGAGAAAGTGAGTTAGAAGAGTTAAGAGAAACTGTGATGTAATATAAATCTCAACATCCCAACATCCCAAAGGTAATATTTGACTTTTTCTCCCCACTATCGCCCCCTTCAAAATTCAAGAAATGTGTAGGAAACAAAACTAATAGGCATAATTTGGCAAGGATTCTTTCCCACCCTCCACTTTAAATTCATTACCACAGGTGCTTAATTTTCTTGAACAGGTGCTAGGACTCAATTCCTCCCCAGGCTGATAACCACAGTGCCTACGCTAACACTACTGAGCAACTGTCAGAACCCACACCCCCAAGTGGTTCCAAATTATGGCGTTGCTGATGCTCCCCCATTGGTGGGTAGGAGGTGGGAAAGGTGTTGGTTTGGACAATAACTAGTAAGGGTGATGGCACTGGTTTTTAGTGTCCTAGGACTAGGATACTAAATACTCTGCAGGAGGTTGGGCATTTAGCATACCCGACAAAGAATAGTTCAGGATTTGAGATCTATTACCTTAAACCAATATCAAATGGAAGGATGATGGAGTAAACCTGCACTACTCAAAGTGTAGGTCTTAAGCCAGTGCTGGTCTCAAAAGATTTGTTACTAATATTTAATGAGATATGTATGGACACAGACAACAATTGTTCACAAAGTTTTGTAGAAACTTGATAATTACGTCTGTTGAAACTATAAAATAATTGAGCTTATATTTTATTGTTTTAATTTCAAGTGTTTTGTTTTTTGTTTTTATTTTTGAGATAGGTCTCACTCTGTCACCTAGGCTGGTGTGCAGTGATGCAATTACCACTCACTGCAGTCTTGACTTCCCAGGCTCTGGTGATCCTCCCACTTTAGCTTCCTGAGTAACTGGGACTACAGACGTGTGCCAAACATACCGGGCTAATTTTTTTTTTTCCATTTTTTTGTAGAGACGGCGTTTTGCCATATTGCCCAGGCTGGTCTTGAACTCCTGAGCTCAAGTGATCTGCCTACCTCGGCCTCCCAAAGTGCTCAGATTATAGGTGTGAGCCACTGTGCCCGGCCTCAAGTTCTTAGTAATTCAATTTTATTGTACTTTGACTTCACAAAGGTCTCACAGATTGGAAATTCATCATAGAGGATCTAAGAATGGATTTCCTACTGGAGTAGAAAGCAGACTATATACACAATTCTTTCTCAAAAAAAAATGGCCTTCATCCATTTTGACAAGTGCTTAAAATCTCGAATAAAGCTTTGATGTTATAGTCCTGAAATTTTCTATAATACAAGTCCACATAAGGGTCAGTCATTTTCATTACACTCTCTGTGGCATTCATCTATTCAACAAGTAATTATCAGATACAGAATTTGTGCTAGATTTTGGTTGTACAAGTGTCGAATGAAATGGATATAGTCTCCACCATCACTGAGCTGACAGTATCACGAAGAAGACAGGAAAACAGCCAGTAAACAAGTAATTCCCAAATGGAAAGGATTATTTATAAAAGCAGACAGAATGCTAAGATAAAGAGCAATGGGATAGTATAGGAAGAGGGGAACTATTTAGAGAAAATGATTCAGGAAGGACTTACAAAGGATGTGACATTTCAACTGAAACCTGGAAGATGAAAAGGAGATAACCATGAAAGAAGCTAGTGAAGAAGAAACAGTACAGATGATGTATTTAAGAAACTGAAAGAAGGCTCTCATGGCAATTAGGAGAGTAGTATGAATAAGGAGAGAGAGGAAAATAGGCTCCAGTCCATGCAACAGCCTATGGACCAAAGTAAGGTCCTTGGATTTTATTCAAAGTGAAGTAGCAATCCATTGGAGGGTTTTAAGTCAGGGAGTTGTGTGGTCTGGCTTATGTTTAGTAGATCACTCTGGCTGTTACATGAAGAACGAGTTGCAAGAGGTTACCAAAGCAAGCGGAGAAATTAGTTAGAAGGGCATTATAGTAAGTCAGACATGAGACGATAATATTGTAAACTAATACAGAAGGAAGTGGGCAGATTTAAGATATATTCTGGAAGACATGCTGATGGATTGGATGACTCCTACTTTTTTTCTTGAGCAAATGAGTAGAGGTCATGTCATTTATTGATATGGGGAAGATTTAAAGGGAAGAGATATTATAGGGCAGAAATTGGAAAGATGAATAGTGAAAATACTTAGTTTTAAAAATGTTATATTTAAGATGCCTGTGAGACACTCAAATGGAGATAGTGTAACATAAGCAAGTGGATCTACGTGACTGAAGTTTGGAGCAACATGCAATGCTACAGATATAAATCTGGGAGTTGTCACCATGCAAATGGTATTTAAGGCCATAGAAATGAATGAGAGTATCTAAATAGGGAGGAGAGAGAGAGAGAAGAATAAATGTAGCAATCAAGTGGAGGATTAAAAGCCAGGAAAGGGGATAAAGAAGTGGCAGGCAGAGATTAAATAAAAACCAGGGGCGACGGATGTCACATGTGGGCGTGTTTCACAAAAGGAAGATAGGGTCAGTGTTGAATCCGATAGAGACATACAGCAAAATGAAAAACAAAAATGTAAGCCATTGGATGTGGCATCATAGAAGGAATTAACATCCTTGAAAGTAGTTTTAGCAGAAGCTAGATGGAAATATTTGAAGTCAATGGTAAATGAAAATTTAGAAACATCAAAAATAACAAAGCCTTGGCCCGGCGCAGTGGCTCATGCCTGTAATCCCAGCACTTTGGGAACCTAAGGTGGGCAGATCACCTGAGGTTGGGAGTTCAAGACCAGCCTGGCCAACATGGCGAAACCCTGTCTCTACTAAAAATACAAAAATTAGCCAGGCGTGGCAGTGCGTGCCTGAAGTCCCAGCTACTCAGGAGGCTGAGACACAAGAATTGCTTGAACCTGGGAGGCGGAGGCTGCAGTGACCTGAGATCGCACCACTGCACTCCAGCCTGGACGATAGTGCAAGACTCAGTCTCAAAAATAAATAAATAAAAACAAAATACAAAAATAACAAAGCCTTAAAGACATTTGGCTATTTAAAAAAATCAAATAAATGGGGTGGTGGCTAAAGGGAAATGCACAATCAAGAGAGGATTTTATTTTGTTTCTCTTTTCAGAGGAGACATCATAAATTATATATGTAAACTCATAGGTATGGTGCCATAGGAGGAAAGATTGAAAATGCAGAAGAAAGGAAAACTGAATGGGCAAAATACTTGTGAAGGCAAGAAAGGACAAGCTTCAGAACATGAGAGAGTTAGGTTGGCCTTTGAGAAGAGAGTGGTTGTTCTCTTCCTCTTCCTCTTCTTCCTCCTCCTCCTCCTTTTGAGGCAGGAAGGGCAAGCAGAAGCAGATGAGTTTGCAGAAGCAGATGAGTTTACAGAACCGAACATTGGAGCATAATGGCAATCCCAGCTGAGGGCTCTTCTTTTCTCTGACATGTAAAGCAAGGTTTTCACCTTAAAGTGAAAGGGGCATGATGAAAAGGTATGAAAGAGTCCTAAGTGAGACTGGAGAGAGAGGCTTTATAGTGGAATTGCCAGGGTTGAGTGCCCATTTGAGATTGGTGACTCCAGTCTACCCAGCTGTGTGATTATTTTCTGCAACGTAGAGGTGTTGGCAGGCACGGAGAAGGCAGATGATTGAGTTCTTACATGGCTGGATTTATTAAGTAAGTGATTTTGAGAAAGTGAGGGGTAAAGAAGTTATGGGAATTATATGGGAGCCATTGGAACAATGACTCACAGAATTTGAGTTGGACAAAAAGAAAGGACAGTCTAGAAGAGGCTATGTGGATAGAAAGAATTGATAGGAGAATGGATTAGATCAGGAGTCCCCAAGTCCCACATCGCAGACCTATACTAGTCTGTGGCCTGTTAAGAACCAGGCCGCACAGCAGGAGGTGAGCATCAGGCCAGCAAGCATTACCACCTGCGCTCCACCTCCGGGGATCAGCAGCAGCATTAGATTCTCGCCAGCCCTATTGTGAACTGCATATGCAAGGGATCTAAATTGTGCACTCCTAATGAGACTCTAATGCCTGATAACCTGAGTCAAACAGTTTCATCCTGAAATTATCCAATACCCCCATGGAAAAATTGTTTTCCACAAAACCGGTCCCTGGTGTCAAAAAGGTTGGGGACCGCTGGATTAGAGAACTGACATCAGTAGGAGGATCCATTGCTTCTTGGCAGATATTTAAGCAAGTGAGCTAGAAGGATAGGAGCTATGGCCAGAGACTAGAAATTAACAAGGTTTTGGAGAGGAATTGTGTCTGATAATGACAATGGCCAGGGAGTTACCATAGTAGTGATAGAAAAAATGGTCACTGGTGATGAGGTGGTCCAAGAATTGGGATGTCAAAGTATCCAGGGTGTTGGATGAGTCAATCTGTGCTGAGATAAAATTATCATAACATTTTAGGAATAATTATTATTTAATACTCTATTTCTAAAGAATTATAAATAAGAAAAGAAAAATAATAGGTGTAAGTTTAATATTATTTGGTATGAATGTAAATTTTTGCACTTTGGTGACAGAGAATGATATAGAGTACTTTTTACCATTTTTTTTTTTTAAAGCCTGTAAGGAAAGAGCGATTGTTTTTTCTTTTCTTTTTTTTTTTTTTTAATTTTTGTTTTCTTAGGCTTAACTACACTGGATTTGCCCACCTGTTTAAGAATGCAAATTAAACAAAACACTTAACTGCACTTTATTGTGCTTCATTTTAACTTAAATCAGAAGAATTTTAATCAAAGCCATACTGAAGCTTTAGGGGAAACTAAATTGTAGGAATGTTTGCAGTGATTTTAACTGGTCAAAATACATTATGTGCATTTCTTTATATTCAAAAGCAGTTATTATTAGCTACTCCTGAAATGAAGTAATAATTTTATCCTATTTTCTGCTGAACAAATACAAAGGTTAAATGGCTTGCCCAGGGGCACAAATTGAATCCGTAGCAGAAATGGGATTATAACTCCAAACTACTGACTCAAAGCTTAGTCCAATGAGCCATGCTGTTTCTCAAGTAGTAAGCATATTAATTGTTCCTTCAAGCAGGAAAAAGAACTCTAAATGGAGCATGTCCCATCCAGAAGACCTATGCAACACAGTAAAAAGACCTACTTCTTTTACTTAGTTAAAACAAACAAACAACAACAACAACAAAAAACAAAAACAAACAAACAAATAAAACCACCCCCCGGCCACAGAACTGTTAAACTTGCCTTTTTGTTAAAGAGGAAATAACTGGTATCAATTTGAAAAGTAATACAAAATAACTGTTACAGAAAAAGCACTAAACTTTATAGTTATAAAACCAAAAGAATGTCTGATATTGTTTTTCAATGCTATCATTGGACCTGGGTTACACAGAATGGTGAATTTGCTGTATCAGATAAACACCAAGATAATTCAGGCATCCAATTTACCCTTTGTTATTTAGGCTAATCATAGAAAAATAGCAATTGTACAAATTTTATTTATTATTTGAATAAATGCCTTCCTGACTCATTTCTCTTATTTCAAGTCCACCCAGGTACATAATTGTTTTTCACTCAATTTTGACTCTGTAATTTTAAAACCACAAATGAGAAGATTATTGAAAGTAGATTCTTTTTAAATTGCAAATTAAAAGTAAATAATTCTATTTCCGCTTCTGGCTATGATAGAATACTTTGTATTACATTAACTCTCCTATTATGAACAACTATTTTAAAATAATTTATTCAACAACTATTTGAAGCCACTAGAGAGGAACTAAGGAAGACAGTACTGGGGGGACAAAGAACCCAGAGAGGAGAGAAGTATATTGAATTGAGCCCCACATTCACCTAAGCTTTTCACTTTGGTACTTGCAGATACATGGCACGAGTAATAGAGGCTAAGAAGAAAGTAGCAGTCTGGGCTTATGTAGTTTCACTGGGTTAGGGAGACAGATGTTGGAGTTTGAGGTGCCAAAGTGATTAAGACTTGAGGAACTAAGGTCCAGGAGTTGAGAAAACCAAAAGGGAGTCCAAAATTCTGTGCAATATCCCTTCAAGGCAGTGCTGACTCCTCAACTATGCAGGGTGAAATGTAGAGAAATTAAGGGTAAAGGAGCAAGCTGGAGGTTAAAGAGTTTAGCCAAGATTTTGCCAATTTTGGAGACCTTGGGAACCAGAGATGGGAATTTGGGGACCACCAAGGAGGGAGAGTCCAAGTAAAATACCTCAGGATTTCAGATGAGAACTCAAGAAGACTATTCTTTGCAAAGTAAAGGCTAAGCTTTAAGATTTAGGACAAACTGGAAGTTGATGAGCCCCCTAAAATCTGAAATCCAACATGACTAAATTGGTATGATAAATCCATATATTATACGACTGATGGAGCAAGTTATATTCTTTCTGGAAAAAGATAACTTAATGGAGAGTTTTTGCAATTTTTCACAATACCCAGCATTCATTAAAAAATTACCAGCCACGTAAAACATAGGGCCAAATGGAAATGCTGTAACCAAAATTAGAAGAATTATAATAAATTAAAATATGGGTATATAGTAGATCAAGCACGGCAAAAAAAAAATAATGAATTGAGAGGAAGGACATAGTAAATACTCAGATTTAAGGATAGAGAGTAAAAAGGATAGAAAATACAGAAGAGATCATAAGAGATATGTAGGACAATTTAAGTTCTGACGTATCTGTAACTGGAATCCCAGAAGGATAGGAGAACATTAATTGAACAAAAGCAACATTTGAAAAGCTGTTGGCAACTAATTTTACAAAACTAATGAAAGAAATCTAGTCATGAATTCAAGAAGCTCCACAATCTGTATTCAGGATAAATTTGTTTATAAATACACCTAGAACATTGTAGTCCAACATCTGAAAAACAATGATAAAAATGAAATACTAACAATAGAGAATAAATACACATTACTTTCAAAGGAGTAAAAATAAGACTTAGTGCTGACTTTCCAATGGAAACTATGGAAACAATGGAATGACATCTTCAAAGTTCTGAAAGAATACAATTGCCAAGCAAGAATTCTATAATCATAAAAATATCCATCAAAAAGGAATGTTAAATAAGTATATTTTCAGACAAACAAAATTGGAGCAAGTCTGTTGCTAGTAGACTCACACTAAAAGAGAATGTAAGGATTTTTTTCGTTTTTATTTTTGTTTTCTTTTTTTTTCTAGTTTCTAGACCTAAGCTTAATGTTTCATATTTAAACATGGAACTGCAGAAAAATTAATAACACAGGGAAGGGTAAATATATGAGTAAATCTAAATATAAACAATAGCAGTAATGTATTACAGGTTTTAAAAATAGATGTAAGATTAAAATACATGACAGCAATTGCACAAAAAGTAAAAAGAGAGTATTTTAGTCAGTTCAGGCTGCTATTACAAAATATCATAGATTGTGTGGTTTAAACGACAAGCATTTATTTCTCGAAGTTCTGGAGGCTGGGAAGTCCAAGATCAAGGTGCCAAAAGATTCAGTTCCTGGTGAGGGCTGTCTTCCTGGCTTGCAGCCAGCCAGCCACCTTCTGGCTTTGACTTTGCATGGGAAGAGACAGAGAGAGAGTGCATGAGTGTGCAAGTGAGCAAGGACTCTGATCTCTTTATCTTCTTATTAGGGCACTAATTCTATCATAGGGCTCATCCTGAAGCACCCCCCTCCAAATACTATTATGCTAGGGATTAGGGATTCAATACACAAATTTCATTACGGACATTCCATTCATAACAAGGAATAGATGAAGTTAGAGTGTTGTAAGGTCCTTGCACTATTCAAGGAGTAATAAATGTACTAACTTAAGGTAGTCTGTAATAAGCAAGGATTAATATTTGAATCTATTATTTTAGGGTAACCAATAAAATAATAAATCTATAACTAACAATCTAGTAAATGGAATAATAAACATTTGATTAACCTAATAGAAAGAAAAACAGAAAACAGTAAAATAGAGAAAATAGTAAGATGGTACCATAAATCCAAATATGTCAATACTTGGATTAAACTAGTGGTATTAATACTCCAATTAAATGACAAAGATGATCAGAGTAAATAATAAAAATAATACCCAACAATATGCTGCTTATAAGATATACATTTTAAATATAAGGACTCTTGAAGGTTGAAAGTAATAGTATGAAAGACATAACATAAAAATATAACCAAAAGAAAATGGTGCAGCTGTACTCATATCAGGCAGATTCTAAAGCAAAAGGTATTAGTAGAGAAAATAATAGTTTCATGATGATAAAGGGATCAGTAGAATTTTAAATTTAAATTTAAAGGTAATAATATAGCCTTAAAATACAGGAAGAAAGATATTACAGAAATAAAATATAGAATAGACAAATTAGAGAACCATAGTTGAAGATCTTTTTAATACCTATTTTAGTAATTGATGGTGAAGAACACTATACCTAACAACCGCAGAATGTAAACATTTTTCTAATTCTCATGGAACATTGCTCAAAATCAACTATGTATAGTTGGAGCAACTAACAGTAGATTTCAAATCACTTAAATCATACAGAGTATATTCTCTGACCTCAATAGATTGAAGCTAAAAACTATTAAACTATTAACAGAAAAGGACGCAAAAATCCTCAGTGTTAGGAAATTTTCAATACATTTTTAAATTACTTACGGACCAAAGTGGAGATTGCAATGGAAATTAGAAAATATTTGAGTTATGTTAGCAAAAATGTGTATACAAAAACTAGTGCTTGCAGCTAAAATGCATAGCAGGAAATGTATAGTCATAAGTGCATTTAGTAAAGAATAAATGCTGAAAATCAATGCTCAGATTCCATTTTGAGATTCTAAAAAAGGAACAGCAAAATAAATGCAAGAAAACAAAAGGAAGTAAATGATAAAGTTAAAAACAGGAATCAATAAAATATAAAATAAAGAAAGTATTTAAAACTTGGTGGTTTGAAATGATTAATAAAATTGGCAATGCCCTAGCAACTCTAATCAAGAAAAAATTAATATTATCAGTATTAGAAATTAAAAGGTGACATCACCCTATAGATATTTTAAAGGCTAGAGAATATTGTCACATGTACTGCTAATAAACTTGAATATTTCAATGAAATTGCAAAATTCCTTAAAAAAGAAAACTTAGAAAAATGGACACAGGATGACTGGACAATCTAAATCATCCTGTATCTATTAAATAAATTAAAACATTTAATAAGAAACTTTTCACAGTTCGTTTCTCTCTCACACATACACACACACACACACACACACACTCCAAGTGTACATGATTTCACCTGTGAATTCTTCCAAATAGTACAGGAAAAAATAACGCTATTATTACATAAACTCTTCCAGAGAATTTAACCTTGATACCAAAATCTAACAAAATCTTGATACTAAAATCTTGATACAAGAAAGAAAAATCACAGGAAAATAACTTTCATGAAGAGACAGAAAAATCCAATAGAAAAATTTGCAAATAAAATCCAGTGATATATTAATAAAGCAATATGTCATGATCAAATTGTGTTTATTCTAAAAATAAATGGCTAATTTCACATCAAAAAAGTAATTAACAGTATTAACATAATAAACAAGAAAAGCCCCTTGATTTCAATAGATATGTTTCAATAGATCCAGAAAAATTATTAAATGCAATTCAGCACCTGATTGTAACTTAAAAATATAATTATTAACAAACTGGGACTAGAAGGGAACTTTCTTCATCTGATAAACACTATCTGCAAAACAAACAAACAAATAAAAACAAAATAAAACTATAGCTAACATCAGACTTAATGATGATATATTGAGAGTTTTCACCCTTAAATTGGGAAGGAAAGATTATGCCTGCTATCATTGCTTTTATTCAACACTATGCTGGATGTGTTAGTATTATAATAAATATGGATTAGAAAAGAAGAAATAAGACTGTTCTCACTATTTACAAATGTCATAATTGTAACATGTAGGAAATTCAAAAGAATCCACAGATAAACTGCTAGAATTACAAAGTGAATTTAGCAGTCTCTTGATAAAAAGTCAATTTGCAATTGTATATCAACATTTAGCAACAATTAGAAAATGAAAGCTTAAAGAACACCAATTTCAGAAGCATCTAAAAATATGTTACCTAGGAGTAAAACTAATATAAGATATAAAATACCTCTACACAGAAAGCTACAAAATATTACTGAATGAAATGAGAGAGGATCTACATAAATAAAGGCATACCATGTTCATGAAATAGATAATGTTATAAAGATTTCAATTCCCTTTCATTCATCTCTAGATTCAATGCATTGCTAATGAAAAGCATAACAGGTTGTGCTTTTGTTTTTAGTTTGGTGGCAATTGGATACAGTGATGCTAGAATTTAGATATATTGATAAAAATAGGCAAGCTAATTTTAAAATATGAAATCACAAATTAGAGTCTGAAATGCTCAAAATAATCTTAAAGAGCAAAGAGGGCTCACATCCAGATGTTAAGACTTATTGTAAAGCTATAGTAATTAAAACAGTGTGGTAATGGCTCAAGAATAAAAAAAAAAACTGAAGGAACAAATCAGATAGTCCAGAAACATATCCACCATGTGTACAGTCACCTGTTTTATGATAAAAGTGCCATTGCAATGTTGTGAAGAAATGTTGGTATGTTCTATAAATAGTTGAATAAACTGGACAGTCTTAGAGATAAAAATGAGACTTGTCCCCGACCTCACATCATACGTAAAAATGATATTCTATTTCTGATATATCATAGATCTCCATGAGAAATATTTAGCAACAAATCTTCTAGAAGATAGCACAGGCAAATATACTCATGAGCTTAGGGTTGGTGAAGATTTCTTAAAGATAATCAAAACAAAACACAAAACCACCTAAGCATAAAAAATGATGAAAGCGTGAATTGTAATAAAATGAAAAACTTCTGTGATCAAAGACACTGTTTAAAGAGAGTATATAAAGAATTCCTCAGACGAATTTTTTAAAACAGGCAAAATTCTTGAACCAGCAATTCACAAAAGAAAATAGGCAAATATCTCATAAACATATGAAAAAGTAATATCGTAAGTAAGGAGTGAAAATGGTCGCTGAAACCACAATGAGACATTAACGCACATCCACCAGAATAGCTGAAAATTTTATCTTAATGACCATTCCATTGTTGGCAAGAAGGTAGATCAATTGAAATTCTCACATGTTGCTCGCAAAAACATAAATTGATACATGTATTTTTGAAAGCTGCTTCACTTTCTACTAACATGTCTACTATAGTTGCTTAGCTTATGACCCAGCAAATACAATTTTATTTCTATATCCAAGATAAGTGGGTACATATGTCCATGACAAGCACAAAAGTGTCCATAAAGGTTTATTTATAATACCCAAATTCTAAAAACAACCATAAACAGTAGGATGAATAAATACAATGATACGTATATAACAGCTTTATATATGTGACTATAAAACAACTTTATTTAGATATAATTTACATCCCATAAAATTCACCTTTGTAGTGTTCAATTCAGTGGTTTTTAGTTTGTTCAGAGTTGTGGAGTTATTAGTATTATCTAATTTTATAACATTTTCATTACCACAAAAAGAAGCACTATGCTCATTAGCAGTCACTCCTAACTTCCCCTACATCCCTTGACAACCATTAATTTATGTTCTGTCTCTATGGATTTGTCTATTTTGGACACTTCATATACAAAGAATCAAATAATATGTGGTGTTTTTTGACTGGCTATTTTTATGTATCATAATGCTTTCAAGGTTCATCCAGGAAGTAGCATATATCAGTAATTAATTTTTTTAATGCTGAAGAATATTCCACTGTATGTATAGTATACATATTATTTGTCTGTTCATCAGATGATGGATATTTGGGTTGTTTCCACATTTTGGCTGTTAGGAATAATGCTACTATGAACATATATGTTCAAGTTTTCATGTGAGTATTTATTTTCATTTCTCTTGGGTATGACCCTAAGAGTAGAATTGCTGAGTCATTTGGTAACTATGGTTAC
Source organism: Homo sapiens (assembly GCF_000001405.40). Taxonomy (NCBI): domain Eukaryota; kingdom Metazoa; phylum Chordata; class Mammalia; order Primates; family Hominidae; genus Homo; species Homo sapiens. Next base: position 147,829,305 of record NC_000002.12, on the reverse strand, counting down.
CATTTTGAGGAACTGCCAAGATATTTTCCAAAGGGACTGCATCATTTTACAATCCTATCAGCAGCATATGAGGGTTCCAATTTTTCCACCTCCTTAACAACACTTGTTATTTTCTAACTTTTTTTTTTTATTTTAGCCATCCTAGTTGGTGTGGAGTGATAGTTCATTGTGGTTTTGATTAGCATTTCCCTAATGATTAATGATGTCTAGCATCTTTTCTTGTACTTATTGGCCATTTGAATATCTTCTTTGGAAAATGTCTTTTCAAATAATTTCCCTATTTTTAAATCGGGTTATTTGTCCTTCTATTATTGAGTTATAAGAGTTGTAATAAGCCAGGCGCCATGGCTCACACCTGTAATCCCAGCACTTTGGGAGGCTGAGGCGGGCAGATTACGAGGTCAGGAGACCATCCTGGCTAACACGGTGGAACCCCGTTTCTACTAAAAATACAAAAAATTAGCCGAGCGTGGTGGCGGGCGCCTGTAGTCCCAGCTACTCAGGAGGCTGAGGCAGGAGAATGGCGTGAACCCAGGAGGCGGAGCTTGCAGTGAGCCGAAGTCACGCCATTGCACTCCAGCCTGCGCGACAGAGCGAGACTCCGTCTCAAAGAAAAAAAGAGTTGTAATCCCTTATATATATGATTTAAAAATATTTTCTCACATTCTGTAGGCTGTCACTTTCAGTTTCTTGGTGGAATTCCTTTGAAGTGCTTAGGGTTTTAAATTTTTTTTTTTTTTGAGACAGAGTCTTGCTCTGTCACTGAGACTGGAGTGCATTGGCACAATTATGGCTCACTGTTCAGGTGATCCCGCCTCCCGAGTTTGAGTGATTCTCCTGCCTCAGGACCTTGGGTGGGATCGCAGGTGTGTGCCACCACTCCCAGCTAATTTTTGTATTTTTAGTAGAGATGGGGTTCACTATGTTGGCCAGCCTGGTCTCAAACTCCTGACCTCAAGTGATCTGCCTGCCTCGGCCTCCCAAAGTGCTGGGATTACAGGCATGACCCACTGCGCCCAGCTAGGGTCTTAATTTTGATAAAATTCGTTTTATTAATTTTTTTCTATCTCAGTGTTTTCTACTAAGAGTTTTATAATTTTACATGTTACATTTAGGTCTCTCCTGCATTTTGAATTAATTGTTCTGTATGGTATTGTGTCTGGAATTGATGGGTTCTTGTCTCACTGACTTCAAGAATGAAGCCGCAGACCCTCACCGTGAGTGTTATAGTTCTTAAAGGCTGCACATCCGGAGTTTGTTCCTTCTGATGTTCGGATGTGTTCGGAGTTTCTTCCTTCTGGTGGGTTTGTGGTCTCGCTGGCTCAGGAGTGAAGCTGCAGACCTTAGTGGTGAGTATTACAGCTCAAAAAGGCAGTGTGGACCCAAAGAGTAAGGAGTAGCAAAATTTATTGCTAAGAGCAAAAAAACAAATGCTTCCACAGTGGGGAAAAGAACCCTCGAGTTACCACTGCTGGCTGGGGGGCAGCCTACTTTTATTGTCTTATCTGGTCCCACTCACATCCTGCTGATTGGTCCATTTTACAGAGAGCCGATTGGTCTGTTTTACAGAGAGCCGATTGGTCTGTTTTACAGAGAGCTGAATGGTTCATTTTGACAGGGTGCTGATTGGTGCATTTACAATCCCTGAGCTAGACACAAAAGTTCTCCACATGCCCACTAGATTAGCTAGATACAGAGTGCTGATTGGTGTATTTACAAACCCTGAGCTAGACACAGAGTGCTGATTGGTGCATTTACAAACCTTGAGCTAGATACAGAGTGCCAATGGGTGTATTCACAATCCCTTAGCTAGACATAAAGATTCTCCAAGTCCCCACCAGATTAGCTAGATACAGAGTGCCAATTGGTGCATCCACAAACCTTGAGCTAGACACAGGGTGCTGATTGGTGTGGTCACAAACCTTGAGCTAGATACAGAGTGCTGATTGGTGTATAAGTTTCTCCAAGTCCCCAGTAGACTCAGGAGCCCAGCTGGCTTCACCCAGTTGATCCTGCGCTGCGGCCGCAGGTGGAGCTGCCTGCCAGTCCAGCGCGGTGCGCCCGCACTCCTCAGCCCTTGGGCTGTGGATGGGACCCGGCGCCGTGGAGCAGGGGGCGGTGCTCCTCAGGGAGGCTTAGGCCGCGCAGGAGCCCACGGAAGAGGGGAGAGGCTCAGGCATGGCGGGCTGCAGGTCCCGAGCCCTACTCCACAGGGAGGCAGCTAAGGCCCGGCGAGAAATCGAGCCCAGCGCCAGGTGGGCCGGCACTGCTGGGGGACCCGGCGCACCCTCCGCGCTGCTGGCCCGGGTGCTAAGCCATTCACTGCCGGGGCCTGCGGGGCCGGCCGGCCGCTCCGAGTGCGGGCCCGCCAAGCCCACGCCCACCCGGAACTCTGGCTGGCCCGCAAGCGCCGCGCTTACCCCCGGTTCCTGCCCGTCCCTCTCCCTCCACACATCCCTGCAGGCTGAGGGAGCCGGCTCCAGCCTCGGCCATCCCAGGAAGGGGCTCCCACAGTGCAGCGGCGGGCTGAAGGGCTTCTCAAGCGCGGCCAGAGTGGGCGCCGAGGCCGAGGAGGCGCCAAGAGCGAGCCCGCTGTCACCTCTCAGGATGAGGTGGGGGTCCAACTTCATACTTTTGCATGTGGTCTCAAAACTGTTGAAAAGACTGAGCTTTCCTTATTGAGTTGTCTTGGCAAGCTTGTTAAAATCAATTGAAGATAGTGTAAGGGTTTATTTCTGGATTCCCAATAACTCTATGCCTATACTACACTATTTTTGTCACTGTAGCTTTGTAGTAAGTTTTCAAATCGGGAAGTGTGAGCCTCCAAGTAGGTTCCTGTTTTTTAAGATCATTTTGGCAATTTGGAGTCCTTTGCATTTTCTTGTGAGTTTTGTTATTGTTGTTGTTGTTGTTTTTGATACAGTCTTGCTCTGTCCTCCAGGCTGGAGTGCAGTGGCGTGATCTTGGCTAACTGCAGCCTCTGCCTTCCAGGTTCAAGCTGTTCTCCTGCCTCAGCCTCCCGAGTAGCTGGAATTAGAGGTGCGCACCACCACACCTGGCTAATTTTTGTTTTTAGTAGAGACAGGGTTTCACCAAATTGACCAGGCTAGTCTTGAATTCCTCACCTCAGGTGATCCACCTGCCTTGGCCTTCCAAAGTGCTGTTACAGACATGAGCCACCACACCTGGCCTCCTTGTGAGTTTTAAGATCAAGTTATTAATTTCTGCAGAAAAGCTAGCTGGGGTTTGGATAAAAATTATGCTCAATCTGTGAATCAATTTGGTAATACTGCCATTTTAACTTTTTTTTTTTTTTAAACAGAGTCTCACTCTGTTGCCCAGGCTGGAGTGCAGTGGCACCATCTCAGCTCACTGCAACCTCCGCCTCCTGGGTTCAAGTGATTCTTGTGCCTCAGTCTCCCTAGTAGCTGGGATTACAGGGGTGCACCACCACACCCAGCTAATTTTTGTATTTTTAGTAGAGACGGGGTTTCACCATGTTGGTCAGGCTGTTCTCGAACTCCTGACTTCAGGTGATCCACCCGCCTTGGCCTCCCAAAGTGCTGGGATTACAGGCATGAGCCACCGTGCCCAACCTCTTTCATTTCTTTAGACAATGTTTTGTAGTTTTTAGCACTGCACTTCTTTCATTAAATTTATTTCTAAGTATTTATTCTTTTTATGCTATTGTAAATAGAATTGTCTTTTTGAATTCATTTTTAGAAATTTCATTGCTAGTATATAAAAATACAATTGATTTTATTTATTAATCTTGTATCATGTAATTTTACATACACTAAATGTATGTATTAGTGCACATTCACATTCCTTAGGATATTCTATATAAATAATAATATCATGCCATTGGCAACTATGAATAGTTTTACTTCTTCCTTAGCAAAGTGAATGTCTTTTATTACTTCTTTTCTTCTCTAATTGCTGTGGCTAGAACTTTCAATACAATATTCAATAGAAGTGGCGAGAGAGGGCATCTTTGTCTCATTCCTGACCTTTGTGGGGAAGCATTTAGTCTTTCACCTTTATGAACGGTGGTAGCTGTACATTTTGTAGATTCTCTAAATCAGGTTTAGGAAATCTGTGCCTAGCTGTTTGAGTGTTTTTTAACAGAGGAGTGTTGTATCTTATCAAATGCTTTTTTATTGCATCTATTAAGATGGTCATGTGATTTTTGTTCTTTATTCTATTAATAGGATGTAACACATTGATTGATTTTTGAATGTTAAGCAAAACTTGCATTCCTGAGTTAAATCTTATTTTGTCATGGCGTATAATCATTTTTATATGTAACTGGACTTGCTTTCCTAATATTTTGTTGAGAACTTTTTGCATCTATATTTTTAAGGAATATTGGCCTGTGATTTTCTTCCCTTGTGATGTCTGGTTTGGTATCAGGTTCATACTGGCCTCATAGAATTACTTGAGAAGACTTCCTTTTTTTTTTTTTTTAACTTTTTCAAGAGCTTGTAGAGATTGGTATTTTTTTTCTAAACGTTTGGTAATTTTCACCAGTGAAGTCACATGGGCCCGAACTTCTCTTTTTGCAACGTATGTAATGATAAATTGAAGCTCCTTACTTTTTATAGGTCTATTCAGATTTTCTATTTCTCCTTGACTTAGTTTTAATAGTTTGTCTTTCTAGCAATTTGTCCATTTCATCTTGTTTATTTAATTTGTTGTCATACAGTGTTATAAACATTATAAATGTATTTTATAATCTTTTATATTTCTGTAAGATTGTAGTAATGGTCCATTTTTCCTTTATGATTTTTGTAATTTGAGCCTTGTATTTCCAGTGTTTTTTGGTGGGGGGCAGAGAGGGTCAGTATAGCTAAAGGATTACCAATTGTGTTGATATTTTCAAAGAACCAACTTTTGGTTTTGTTTTTTCTCTATTTTTCTGTTATCTATTTGTTTCCTCTGCTTATTTCTTAATTTCTTTCTGCTTGTTTCAAATTTAACTTGCTGTTCTTTTGCTATTTTCTTAACATGGAAGTTTAGATTACTAATTTGAGGTCTTTCTTCTTTTTAAATATAGATAATTATAGTTATACATTTCTCTCTGAGCACTGTTTTTACTTCATGGCTTACATTTTTGGTATATTTCTTTAATTGTTTCTATTAATTCAAATTTCACTGTATTATGTTTGGAGAACATACTTTGTATGATTTCAGTCTTTTAAAATGTATTGAGGCTTGTTTTATGGCCTAACACACAGTCTGTCTTGGAAAATTATTCCATGTTCAGTTGAGAGAAATGTGAATTCTGCTATTACTAGAGAGTGTTCTACAGAAGCCTGTTAGGTCTAGTTGGCTTATATTGTTCTAGGCTTCTATTTTCTTGTTAGTCTTCTCTTGTTTTCTTATATCCATTATTTAAAGTGAAATATTGACATTTCCAACTACTGTTTTTGAACTATTTCTTTATTCAATTCTATAACCTTTTACTTCATGTCTTTGGAGCTATGCTGCTAGGTGCATATATGTTTATAATTGTTTAGCCATCTTGATGGATTGGCCCAATTATTGTTATAAAATGTTCTCTTTGTCTCTAATAGTCATTTTTTTAATCTTCGCTTCCATTTTTCTGATATTAATATAGCCAATCAAAGTCTCTTTTGAGTACTAAGTCTCTTTGGTTACAACCCCAGAGATTTTTACTGTTACTTTAATTTCAATCTCTTTGTTCTTTGAATCTAAAGTATATCTTTTAAAGACTTTAGATTCAATAGTGGGGTCATATTTTTAAAAATCTATTTTGCCAGTCTTTGTATTTTGATTCAAGTGCTTAATCCATCCACATTTAATGTAATTACTGATAAGATAGAATTTACACCTGCCATTTTGCTATTTGTATTCTATATGTCTTATGTGTTTTTGTTTCTCAGTCACTGCCTGCTTTTGTATTACTTTCTAGTGTAACATTTTAATTCCTTTATTGTTTCTTCTATTATTTTGAGTTAATTTCATAGTGGTTGCCATGGAGATTGCATTTGATGTGTTAAAATGATCTGCGTTAGATTAATACTAAGTTAATTTTAAGAATGTACCAAAACTTTGCTCCACTATAGCTCCTTCCCTCCCCATTCTTTTGTGCTATTTGTGTTTATCATACCAATTATACTTTTATACATCAAAACCCATCAAAAGAGTTCTATAATCATTTTATACAGCTACCTTTTAAATCATTCAGGAGAAGAAAAGTGTTATGAACAAAATTACATTTCTATTCTTTGTTTTTTGGCAGTTTGACTATTATTTATCTAGAGATACATCTCTTCATGTTGATTACATTTGGGTTTGTTGAGCTTCCTAGATCTATAGATTAAAGTTTTTCTTCAAATGTGGGAAGTATTTGGCCATTGTTTCTTCAAATAATCTTTGTTTCTTTCTCTCTCTTCCTTCTGCGGTTTCCATTAGGCACATTTTGGTACTCTTGAGTGTGTTCCACAGGCTCTGTTCATTTTTCTTCATAAAAAATTCTATTTCTCAGAACTGACAACTTTAATTATCCTTTCTTTAATTTTGCTGATTCTTCCTCTGCCAGCTCAAATCTGGTCTTGAACTCTTCTGTAAATTGTTCATGTTAGTTATTTCAGTTATTACAGATTTTTCAGTTTAGTTCTTACAAATTTTCTCTTTGATTCTTTTTTAAAAAAGTAACTTCTATATATTTTTTCATATTCTCTATTTGATAAGACACCTTTCTTACACTTTCCTTTAATTCATTAGCCATATTTCCTTTAACTTTTTGAAAATATTTCTAGTGGCTGATTTAAATGTTTTGCCTAGAAAGCTCAACACCTGGGATACTTCAGGGGCAGTTTCTATTAACTACTTTTTTCCCCACTGTGTATGGGACATACTTTCCTGTGTCTTTGTATGTCTTACATGTTTTTGTTTTTGAAAACTGGACTATTTATATAATATAATGTGGTAACGTCAGAAATCAGAATTCCTCCCTCCAGCATTTAATGTTGTTACTGTTTGTTCTTTTTTGTTTGGTGACTTTCCTGGACTAATTCTGTAAAATTTGTACTTTTTGTTGCATGTAGCCCCTGAAGTCTCTGCTTGGTTAGCTTAGTGGTCAGCTAATGATTGGAGGAAGATTTTCTTAAGTGCCTTGAAATAATGTCTCCCAGATTTTGCCCAGAGGCTCTATGTGTGTTTGTGTTGGAACATGCCTTCAGTGTTCAGGTATCTTATAAGCCTGCCTTAGCCTTCACTTCCTACTTGCACAGAGCCTCAAATTGTGCTAGAGATAAAAGAATAGGGCTTTGCCAGGTCTTTCTGGGGCATGCATGTGGCCTTCTACATTTCAAGGAATGTGTTGGAGTTTTTTAAAAATCCACTATGCACTCATTTTCCAGAATTTCCATTTAAAGTTTTTTGGCAAGCCTCTTATTTGGCTGAAATGCCTAGGCAGCTATAATGTCAAACAATTGTCACTGAATGCTTCTGAAAATTGTCTTGAGGATAGACCTCTCCTCGCTGAGTGAACTCTTGAGTCAGGTAAAAACGACAAGTTTTGTGAAAAGAGCTTTTCCAGGGAGCTGCCAGATAGATCGAATACTGACAATTCACTGAGGAGTATTTGGGAACCCCAAACCCTTCTTGCCATTTCGGTGACTGCTAGGGTGGTTTTTACAAAACATGATGCAAGTCTGCTGATTTTCAAAGCTACCCTGGATCTGGGTGGGAAGAGGACTATGGTAAAAAGTCAAGTTAAAATGCCACAAAACTCACTGTTTTTACCAAAATCCAGTTGTGTTTTTAATTAATGCTGCTCAGATTGGTGTAAATTTTTTGTTTCCAGACTTTTGAAAAAGTTAGTTTTGACCAGTTTTACTAGTGTCCTTTTGCTTTTGTAGAGGTAGACATTTTCAGAGGTCCTTACTTTGTCGTTCTACAAGTGCTTCTATTTTGGTGTTTTCTTAAATTGAAATAGCCTATAGTAAGAAAAAGAATGAACAACTGCTTCATGCAACAGCATAGATGAATCTCATAGAAATATGTTGAGCCAAAGAAGCCAGATACAAAAGAGTGTACACTATGATTTTATTTATGTGAACTTCTAAGATAGTTAAAATGAAAGTCACAACAGTAGTTATCTTTGAGGAGGAGGTATTAACATAAGAGAACATTCTAGGATGTTGGTAACGTTCTATATTTTGACCTGAATGATGGATGCACAGGTGTATTCATTTATTAAAATTATTTGAGCAATACACTTTGTGTACTTTGTTATATGAATGCATACTCTTGTAAAAACAACTTTAAAAACAAATAAAAGTAAATGATTAACCTTGAGGCCCTTCTTTAATTCTTGGATAAATTCCCTTGCGTAGTTTTGTGCAAGGAGAGAAAGGTTTTATACTCACAGTAGAGAGATTCCTGCATGTGCCACTGAGAAATAGGAATGATTTATTTCTAACAGTATTACTACTATTAACAAAAACTTATATGCCTACAAGGCTTTATAGTTTTTAAACTTTCACATATATTATCTTACCATTTGTACAACTCTTGAAGTTGGATTTCAAATGTAGTAATTTCCAAATGTGGAGATTCAGATGTAGACAGTCATAAGATTTGTGAGGAGAGAGTCAGGATTGTCTTACTCTAGGATTATTATGCTTTTCTACCACACTTACTGCCGTGTCAGTTTCTTTAGAATATTACTAGCCACCAACTTATTAAAATTAGATAGGTATCCAAGGTTTCAGAATCTCTGTTAGGTCATTCATAAAGAACAATATTAATTCTTGATTCTACAGATAATCTTAGGATTTCAGGGATAGAAAGAATTTTGAACGTCATCTTTTAATGCTCTCTGTGAGACAGAAGAGTATTTGTCATCCAAATTAAACATATCTTTTTTTTTTCTTTATGAGACAGCATTATACTCTGTTACTAGGCTGGAGTGCAAGTAGTGTGATAATAGCTTACTGCAACCTCAAACTCCTGGGCTCAAACAATCCTCCTGCCTCCACCTTTTGAGATGCTGGGACTACAGGTGCATGCCACTGCCCAGCTATTTTTTTTTTTTTTTTTTTTTTTTGGTAGCGATGGAGTCCTGCTATGTTTCCCAGGCTGGTCTCAAACTTCTGGCCTCAAGCAATGCTCCCACCGCAGCCTCCTAAAGTGTTATGATGACAGGCGTGAGCCACCATGCCCAATCCCAACTTAAGCATGTCTTTTGATGAGATTTCTTAATGCTTATTTATTATAATCTTACATACTTTTTATGATAAGGAAGTCATTCCATGATAATAATAAGTATTTTTACAATTTGCTCTTTCCCTGCCTTCTATTCAAATGTAGTATGATTGATCACAATTCTATGATTCCTTTCTAGATATTTGAAGATTATTAGATTCTATTCTTACCTTAGTGATCTTTACTTCATTTAAGCTTTCCTTCTGTCATTTAGTAAACCTTGACATATTGGTTGAATTTCTCCCTTTCAGAAGAGATCCTTGCCTTGTCATTTCATCTGCATTAAAAGGCTTTCTCCTAAAAAACAGTACCCTGATTAAGACCTGGTCAGTGATCAATGTAGAGGTTTCTGTTTGTTTGTTTGTTTCTGATACATCATGACAGTAGAAAATATTCTGCCTTCTTATATAAATTTATAACATCTATTTCTTTTAAGTGATTTAATCTGCTTTTGCCCCTATTAAAGGTAATCAGATTTGTGAAGATGACTTAGAATTTAATCATGTTTTCTTAAGTAAAGGGCATTCCAACTAACTTTGCATCTTTGGCGAGTTTCATAAGCATATTCTCAAGATAAATTCTGAAATCACAAATGAGAATAATAAAGCAGGACCCACAAAGCTGCTGAGTATCTGTGGATAGATACAGATACTAGAAAGCCTTATTTTGTTTTTCAGGCAAATGAAGAACAGCATATAAGTGAGAAGGTGCTATTTATAAAGAGAATAAGGGGCTTGGGAAATTTATTTATGCTTTTGCAATTAGGTTCTAAATACTTGATGAAACACCACTCTCAAGTCCCAAACAGAAAGCAACTTCACCTGGGTTTTCTCTGACCTTCATCTTGAGAAAAAGCTTACCTTTCAACCATTTAAAGATTCAAGCCAGGAGGGATCTCTTTTCCAAATACCTCTCTACAGACTGATAGTCCTTTTCCTCTCTGGAGCACGCCTTTTCCATTACATTCATCAAAATATAGTACACACAATCTGATCAATCCCACAACTATATTACTATCTTCTTGGGCAATCTCAGGAACAAGCTATAGCTAGAAGAGGTGAGTTACTTCTGTATGTTGCTTCATTAGCTCAGTACAGCCTGAAAGCCATAAACCATCTCTCTTAAGCAATCTCAATTCTCTCTTTTGCTGCTCTCCCCCTTGAATCCTAACCTGTGACATCACTTTCCTTTCTAGTTCACTCTACTTCCATTCTCAAGCAAGGGCAAATAAACCTTTCTTAAAAAAGCTATGTCTTGTAGATTCAGTGTCTTTTTATGCCTGGATGAGCTTCAGATTAAAACAGCAATCCTTGTAGCCATCTGAGTGTCCAGCCTATCCAGAGCCATTGGGAATGAAACCACAGATCTCTCATGATCAGCCTTCTTTCCTTTATTTTGGAAATGTAAAAATATCCAGAGATCTCCTGAGCTCAGCCTTTAGTTAGTTACCAGCCCCTTCTGAGCATGTTCTTTTTTTTTTTTCCCCTCGTGTTCTTGACTGTCTGGATTCAGAGTTCCTTTAAACCCTTATTTCCTCACAGCAACCTTGTGTAACCCCATACCATGTTCTCTCCTCCCTGTCTCTAAACATATACAATCAACATCAACAACTTGCCTGAGTGGCCCCCATTTTCTAGCATTCAGGGATCACTATCACTTTGCTGTTATCGCTGTACCTTCCCCATTATATTCTCAAATACAACAAAACAACAGGACATTTTACCTCAATTATATTTTAATCCCTGTCTCTGGATTTAAATCCAATTTGGGGGGATGAGGCAAAGGGTAATTCAGAGGATATCCGATAAGATGCACCACAGCAAAAGAGAATGAGAATGTACTTTAATGCTTACCGATTTTAATATTTTGATATGGAATTTTTTTTTTTTTTTTTTTTTTTTTTTGAGACGGAGTCTTGCTCTGTCGCCCAGGCTGGAATGCAGTGGCTCAATCTCGGCTTACTGCAAGCTCCGCCTCCCGGGTTCACACCGTTCTCCTGCCTCAGCCTCCCGAGTAGCTGGGACTACAGGCACCTGCCACCACGCCCAGCTAATTTTTTTGTATTTTTAGTAGAGATGGGGTTTCACCATGTTAGCCAGGATGATCTCGATCTCCTGACCTTGTGATCTGCCTGCCTCGGCCTCCCAAAGTGCTGAGATTACACAAAAGTTGAGGGACAGTATATTAAACCTTCAGGGATCTACCACTTAGCTACTTCAATTATTATTGTATGCATATGTTTTTATTTTTATTTCTGTTTTCGAGACAGGGTCTCATTCTGTTGCCCAGGCTGGAGTGCAGTGGCACCATCATGGCTCACTGCAACCTCTGTCTTCCAGGTTCAACTGATTCCCCTGCCTCAGCCTCCTGAGCAGCTGGGATTACAGGTGCATGCCACCATGCCCAGCTAATTTTTGTATTTTTAGTAGAGATGGGGTTTCACCATGTTGGCCAGGCTGGTCTTGAACTCCTGACCTGCCTTGGCCTCCCAAAGTGCTGGGATTACAAGCATGAGCCACCGAGCCCAGCCTGCTTATGTTTATTTTTTAAACAAACATTTTTGGTCACCATATTGCATTAAAATTATTTTCCCCCAAGATCAATCTGCCCTTTATTCTATTTACAGTCCTGAAACCAAACTGAAGCACAAGGGGAAAAAACAGTGGTGAGGCGGAGGGGAGATAAAGAAAAATGAACTGAATATAAGTCTTTTAATTCCAGCAGTAGCTCTTTCATATTATTGTTACCACATACGCCAAGTTACAATGCAAAGTGTGATAAATTCCTCTTTGAAACAATTGCTAAAGGGAATTCTAGATTATTGGAGTTTACTTTTCTTTCATCAAACTAGTGTTGTCATAGTTATGCATTCTTCTATGAAACCTCTGGACAGAAGATTGGATCAGTTTCAATCTAGGCAGGTTGAGGTCTAAGGATATCTACTTATGATGAAGTATTAGCAGCTGCAGCAGCTGCGAGAAGAGGGAAGAAGCTTTCAGATAACTAAAATAGTGCAGTCTGGTTTACCCCACTTCTAGGTAGTTGAACAATTTGGCAAAGTTGCAGCTGAAGAGTAGTCAGTTATAGACATGCTTCTAGAGGAAATGAATCAAATGATAGTGCAAAGCTGTGATGAGTGTAGTTGCTTTTATATTTCGTTGATTTCCTGATGAAAGAATTGAAAACATATTGTTATACTTTTAGGGAGCTGAAATGGATGGTTTGTTAATTAATATCTTAGAGGAGAGAAAAATGACCTTCATAAGTTGGTAAGATGTTAGTCTGAAGCCAGAGTGTGAAATCAGAGGCGACACATACAAGGTGAGCCTTAAGCACAAAGAAACTCTCATGAATTCAGTTTGAGAAACAATCCTTTCCACTACACTTTTCATTTGACAAGCTTGTACTAAAACAATATTTCCACCTTGATGAGAAAACTTTAAAGTTCTTTAGACAAACTGAAATCATTTCCCACGTTAATGGCAAAATCAACAAAGATAGAGGAAATATCAGCTTTCAAAATAACATTAAAAAGGTTACGGCCAGGCGCAGTGGTTCACGCCTGTAATTCCAGTACTCTGAGAGGCCGAGGCAGGTGGATCACCTGAGGTCAGGAGTTCTAGACCAGCCTGGCCAACATGGCAAAACCCCGTCTGTACTAAAAATACAAAAATTAGCCAGGTGTGGTTGTGGGTGCCTGTAATCCCAGCTACTTGGGAGGCTGAGGCAGGAGAATCGCTTGTACCTGGGAGGCGGAGGTTGCAGTGAGCTGAGATTGTGCCACTGCACTCCAGCCTGGGTGACAGAGCAAGACTCCTTCTCAAACAAAACAGCAGCAACAACAACAACAACAACAACGTTACAAGGAAGGTGAGGAGTGGGTTTTTAAAAAAATGTTTAAGAATAGTTGAAGAGACTGGGCGCAGTGGCTCACACCTGTAATCCCAGCACTTTGGGAGGCCGAGGTGGGTGGATCTCAAGGTCAAGAGATAGAGGAACCTGGGAGGCGGAGGTTGCAGTGAGCCAAGATCACGCCACTCTGTCTCAAAAAAAAAAAAAAAAAATAATAATAATAATAGTAGTTGAAAAAAAGAGAAACTTAAAGGAAAAGACATTGTATTTGGTCATAATTCCCTTTTTTTTAGGTAAAGCCACAAAAATAAATAAAAATGTATGTTATCTCTCTTTCCAAAATGTAGCATTAATGGTGTACTTTTTAGTAGGAGTCCTCTGTCAATGAAGAAGGTAGTTTTAATTGACTTCCCACTCTCCCTAACAGCAAATGGTTTGTCTTGTGACTAAGTCTGTAATGGAACAGCTCCTCTTGGCAAGAACAGTCTACTCAAACCCCTTCTTTAAAATGTGATATATTCACATAGTTCAAACTTTAAAAAAAAGTTGAAAGGCACTGTGAAAAGTGTTGCTCTCACTTTGTATACTATTTCCACAACCCTCTTACACACACAACCATGATCACTGTTATTATTTTCTTAAATGTTCTTGCAAAGTTTCTTTATGCATACACTGGAAAATATGAATATACAGTCTTATTCCTTCACTTTTTACAAAAAGCAGCATAAAATTACACTAATTTATACATTGCTTTTAATTTTGCATTTAGCAATACATCTTGATGCTCAATACTAGTGAGCTTCCTTATTCTTTTTTTTAAAAATACCACTGTGTAGTACTCCACTCTGTAAATGTACAATAACTTTTTAACCATTCTCCTACTGATGGGCACTTGAGTTATTTCAAATTGTTTCAAACATTTAAAACGTTTTAAATTTCAAACAATACTGGCATGGATACAGTTACATATTAGTCATTTCACATGTGGGCAAGTATAAGTATAAATTCCTTAGAAGTACACTTCTGCATCAATGGGTATATGCAATTTTGGCTTTAATAAATATTGCAAAATTTCCTTCCATCAGAGTTGTCTAATTTCAGCTGTCCCTAATGTATAAGAGGGTCTGTTTTCCTACGATCGAGCTCTTACACCATTACTATTCTGAAAAAAAAGGTATTCCAGTGTAGTTTCAGCATGTATTTATCTTATTTTAAGTGAACTTGATCATTTAATTATGTTTATATCTATTTATGTTTACAAGCCATTTGCATTCTCTTCTATGACTCGAATATACATATTTTTGCTGATTTTCTTATTATGTGGTTGGGCTCTTATTAGTTTCTAGTAACTCTTTATGAGTTAGAGAGATTAGTATTTGTCTATGATTTGAGTTTCTCAGTTTATCATTTGTCTTTTGACTTTGTTTATAGCTTTTTTATTAAATTTACTATTGTATTTTATGAATTCTGAATTTTAAGTCACAAATATAACTCGCATCTCCACTGCAATGTTAAAAAGAAATTCTGTGCTTTCTTCCAATATTTATATGCTCTCTGTATTTTATGTGTAGATCTTTGATTCATTTGAAATTTATACTGGTTTTATTGGAGTATGCCTCCTCTCAACATCCATTAAAATCCTTCCTGCCAGATATTGTAATTGTATATCTAGAAAATTCAAGAGACTTGACAGAAAAACTCTTTAGCAAAGTGCTGGGGCACACAATTAATATACAGAAATCAAACAACAAACAGTATGATTATATAATGGAAGAAAGTACCCATCTAAATAGGAAAAAAGACATCTCTTCCCTCAGATAGTCTATTATCATTTATTAAAATGTTCATCTTTTCCCTACTGATCTGAAATGCTGTCTCTATCATATATTGAAGTATGCTTTTGTAATTATTTCTGGACTTTCTGTAATGTTCTGTTGGTCAGTTTGTGTACTGATGAACCAACACCACACTGTTTTAAGTATTTAGGTTTTTATAATATGTTTTAATATCAGATAGTGCTAATTCCCTCTCTGCTGCTTTTTCTCAGAGTTTTCCTGATTTATTTTGGTAAATTATTTTTCTTTGTAAACTCTATGATGTTTGCCAGTTTCACAAAAACCCACTGTCAATATTTTTCTTATGGGGCTCATGTTGAAATGATAAATTAGCTGATAAAGAATTGATATTTTTTGGATGTTAACTCCACTGATGAGGTACATCTTCCCTTTGTTCAAAATTTCTTGTATTTCTCTCAAAAGTCCCTTACACTTTTGTGTATTTTATTTTGCTTTTCTATGTAAGTGGGTCCTTTCTTCCATTACACATTTATACTGTTTATTGTTTGACTTCTGTATATTAATTTTGTGCCTTAATACTTTGCTAAACAGTTTTTTAGTCAAGTCTATTGAGTTTTCTAGGTGTATGATTGTAATACCTGCAGGAAGAATCCTGATGAATGCCACGAGGGAGAAGAAATTGTGCTTTGCAAAGTTTAATGAATGGAGGTTTCTTCTGACAAATCCCAGAAATGGCAAATATGGTTATATTATGGACTCTTTGGTACCCTAGACCAGACCAGGTGATGACAGGTGTTCAAAAGGTATAGAATTATTTTAGGAGGGATACACCTGAATGAGGATTGTATTAAAACAGGAATACTGCATTATTATCTTAACATCAGCCGTCATTCTTGCCATCACATTTCATATATATACATATATATGTGTATATATATATGTATATATATGTATATATGTATATATGTATATATGTATATATGTATATATGTGTATATATGTGCATATATGTATATATATGTGTATATATATGTGTGTGTATATATATATATATAGCGCCCTGTCTTTATTTAAAACAATTAATGAATACAAAGCTACCTATTTGTTACTACTCTGTTATTACCAAACATTTAAAAAATATGTCTGGGCTATCTATGTAAAGCTCATTGGATTTTAACTTTAGTACAGTATGGTAAAAGAAATTCAGCCAGGCATGGTGGCACACGCCTGTAATCCCAGCACTTTGGGAGGCTGAGGTGGGTAGATCACCTGATGTCAGGAGTTCAAGACCTGCCTGGCCAACATGGCAAAACCTCGTCTCTACTAAAAAATACGAAAAATTAGTGGTTGGGAGCGGCGGCTCACACCTGTAATCCCAGCACTTTGGGAGACTGAGGCAGGCAGATCATAAGGTCAGGAGATCGAGACCATCCTGGCTAACACGGTGAAACCCCGTCTCTACTTAAAAAATACAAAAAAAAAAAAAATTAGCCAGGCGTGGTGGCGGGTGCCTGTAGTCCCAGCTACTCGGGAGGCTGAGACAGTAGAATGGCGTGAACCCGGGAGGCAGAGCTTGCAGTGAGCCAGGATCGCACCACTGCACTCCAGCCTGGGTGACAGAGTGAGACTCTGTCTCAAAAAAAAAAAAAAAAGAAAAAAGAAATTCAATTGTAGGCAATCAACTATCCATCAATCTTGCAGTACAATTGTGTTTAACTAGCTTGAATGAGTTGCTTTGTGTTTGTGATGGGCACATCAAATCCTCCTTGCCAAAAGTTTCTAAACCTGCCTCACCTAACAGTAATCTCCTTTGTTGATCTTCAGGGCATGGTGTCTCATCTGTTTAGTTTGGCCTTTTATTTGACTTTCATTGACTTTGCGGCCAAGCCTGTTTTCTTTGTTTGATACGTTAGCTCAAATATGTAGGTGAACTCAACCACTTAATTATGGGCATGTAATTTTTAAAAATGGCACATATTGGATTTGATGAGATAATCTAATTTTTCCTAGTTAGTAGAGATGTTTGACTTAAATAATATCTTGCTATCTTTTGAAGTTGTCCAACTGTCTTTTGCTATGAGACACAGGTTTCTGTTTGCTGAATTTCTGCCAGTTTTTTTTTTCTATATATACAGTTCTCTACCTTAAATTAGATGGGGACAACATGTCTTCTTTAAGTGCTTCCTAGAATATTACTACCTTTAAATGCTAGTTTCTGAAGAGCTGCAGCTGTCACCCAAGTTTTAGTACTGAGCTAGCCATTATAATGTGAAATTTAGTATGTTGAAGAATATTTTCATTTGCGGTACATCTCAAGCCATGTTTCTAATTGTTAGAGAAAACATAAGCATGGATATTGGACAGTTGTGTCAGTTAATATAAAATATGTACAATAGAGAAATGAATTTGTGAATATGTAGATTTATACTATTGGTACTAAAATTCTGACTTTGCTCTAGTAAATTCAAATTTATTGCCTTGTTTCAGCTATGGTTTTAATATTTTATCTGTCTTCTACAAAATTCTCTAAAGAAAGCCAAGATATAAAATGCTTTTAAAATCCCAGATTTTTATATAAATTTTAATTTTCTTTGAGACAAATTCTGAAGCAAAACCAGTGAAACTTCAGATCAGATAACATGAAGAATCAAAATCTTAAGGCACTTATTATTGTCTTTATTATCTGAGAGATACTGGCAATTGTGAGGCTTCTGTTGGCTCCAAATAGAAATTACTTATATAAATGTTCCTGTAGAATTTCTGCTTATGGACTAGAGACCTTAGGGGAAGGTAGAAAGGGTGTTGTCTTATTTTATGGGCCTTCTTGTTTGCCAACATACTTGAAGTTTCAATATTCAAAAGTCATTCATATAATCTCTTCTTTTATTGATGTGGTTTAAAAAAATTTCAGGTACCTACTTGCAAATGTTTCCCAAGAACATTTCCTTATATCTAGGGTGTGCCATTACTTTTGCCCTCTTTCTTTTTCCTTTTTGGATTATTTTTAAAACATAGTTGTTTTCAAAGGTAATGCATCTTTCAAAGGAAAGACTTCCAGAAGAACAGAGGTAGAGCCATGCTCAGGTTTCTTCACATGGTCAGCAGCAGGGCAAAGGAATGCCCTTTCTACTGTTTTATAATTGACAAAGACAGGAGAACTCTTGCATAAAGAAGGCCCTAATTGTATTCCTGGATGTCTTTGATTATGTCTTTCTTCTGGTGCAAATTGATATCAAATCACTAAGAACTTAAAACCATCCTCTACCTTTTGAGTGGTGGGAATGTGGGGTAGCAGGTGTACCACAGGAATGGGGCTAAGATTTTTTAAAAAATATTTTAGCAGTTTTTAATAAAAATTGTATATAAGATTATTTCCCCTCCCTCCCTCCCTCCCTCCCTCCCTCCCTCCTTCCTTCCTTCCTTCCTCCCTCCCTCCCTCCCTCTCTCCCTCCCTCCCTTCCTCCCTCCCTTCCTTCCTTCCTTCCTTTACTTTCTTTCTTGTCAGGGTTCATTTTGTTGCTCAGGCTGGATTGCTGTGATGTGATCATGGCTCACTGTGACCTGGAACTCCTGAGCTCAAGCAATCCTACTGCCTCGGCCTCCCAAAGTGCTGTGATTACAAGCGTGAGCCACTGCACCCGGCCTTCTCCATCTTCTGAATTGTTTCTTCCTTGAATTTGTCCTTTCCCTTTTGTACTTAGTGAGATTTGCCTTTCGGTTCAAGGATCTTTTTGCACTCTTTGTCCAGTTTTAGCTTAGTGACAACCATCCTGCTGGGGTGAATTCCCACAGGGACAGTTGTGCCATTAGCCTTCTCCTGCTGCATCGGTTCAATGTAGATCATATATTTCTTCCTCTAAACCTGGACTATTTTGCCAATTTGCTGGCCTTTGTAGTGTCCTTGGACAACCTGTACTTTATTATCCTTTTGGATGAACACGGATTGAACGTTTCTTTTCTGTCTTAGTTCTTTGGAAAGTGGGGAAGACATAATCTTCTTGTGAATGTGGGAAGGTGCATTGAAATGACTTTTCCAGTTCTTGGTCTGCTCACATATCACAAAGGGATTGGCTTTTGTTTTGGCTGCTGCTGCTTCAGTGATGGCCACAAAAGAGAAGAGAAGATGGAGTTTTCAGAGCATTTTCTCTAGCCAGAATCTCCTGGTCTGCTTGACTGTACAGGTGTTCCATTCCAGTCTGCACTCAGTCTATTGCCTGGCCTACTGAGTTTTTTTTTTTTCTTCTGAAAGTTTGTGTTTGTAATTTTCACACACTTGGAATCCTAGTTAGGCATTTAGCTGTACTCTTTTACACAAAGATTTGATGACATCTCTTTGTTTGTTTGTTTTTTGTTTTGTTTTGTGTTTTGAGACTGAGCCTCGCTCTGCCACCCAGGCTGGAGTACAGCGGCACGATCTCAGCTCACTGCAACCTCTGCCTCCTGGGTTCAAGCGATTCTCCTGCCTCAGTCTCCTGAGTAGCTGGGATTACAGGAATGTACCAGCACGTGAGGCTAATTTTTCTATTTTTAGTAGAGACGGGGTTTCACCATGTTGGCCAGGCTGATCTCGAACTTCTGACCTCAAGTGATCCACACGCCTCAGCCTCCTGAAGTGCTGGATTACAGGCGTGAGTCACCACGCTCAGCCCCACCCCATTTTTTTTTATTGTTGTTTTGGTGGTTTTTTTTGTCGTTGTTCAAAGAGACGTGTTGAAAGAATGGACTCTGGAGTCAGATAAGTCAGACTTTGAGCTTATTACGCATGTGTTGACTTTTTCCACTTCTAAAATTAGTTATGTAACATCTCATCATAAGTTGTTTATAATAAGACCAATCACACAGGACCTGCTATGAAAATTCCATACTTGTAAAGTGCTACCTAGAGCCTGACACGTGGTTGGCACTCTATATGTATGAGTTTCTTTTAAATTTATTTGGGATATTTGAATGCCTATTTATTTTTGTGAAAGGGTTTATGTTTAAAAAATTAAAAAAATATACTTTCGTTCATGCGTCAAATATTGTTGTGCTCTTCTTTATGCCAGGTACAGGTTTAAGAGCTGAAAATATATAGTAAATAAAACTTAGAATAGGCCAGGCACAGTGGCTTATGCCTGTAATCCCAGCACTTTGGAAGACTGAGGCAGGAGAATCACTTGAATCCAGGAGTTCAAGACTAGCCTGGGGAGCACAGTAAGACCCCATCTGCACAAAAAAAAAATTATTTAAAAATTAGCCAGGTGTGGTGACTCATGTCTGTGGTCCCAGCTACTCAGGAGACTGAGGCAGGCGAATCACTTGAGCCCGGGAGGTTAAGGTGCAGTGAGCCATGGTCAAGCCACTGCACTCCAGCCTGGGTGAAAGGGAGACCCTGTCTCAAAACAAACAAACAAACAAACCCAAAAAACAAAATGAAAAAACTGAGACTATTTAAGAAATATTACTTTTATATAAGAATTTATATTCTTCTGGGGAAGACAAACAATGAACAATATAAATATGTGAAATATATAATATATCAAATGATGATAACAATTGTAGGAGAACAAGTTGTGCCAGGAACGGGTAACATTTGAGCAGAGACTTGAAGGAGTGGAGGGAGTGAACCATTTGAATACCTGATGGAAGAGATAATGGCAAGTACATTATCCTGAAGCAAAGAGGCAGGCGTGTCTGGGGTAGAGTAGGAGATGCAGCCAGAAAGATAGCAGAGGCCACGTCATGTGGCACCCTGGAGGCGGTGTAAGGGCTTTGGGTGTTACTCTGAATGGAGGGGATTGAGCAGAGGAATGACAAGATCTGACTATGATTTAACCAGAAAGCAGTCTGACTCCTCTGTTGAGAAGATACTGCTAGAAGGACCAGGACAGAGGCAGGGAAGATCAATGAGTAGGTTACTGTAGTAATCCATACAAGTGATGGTGGTGACTTGAATCAGAGTTGTGGGTAGCAGAGGAAGCAGTCAGGAGGGATTGTAATCTGGATATATTTTGCATAAAGGGGCTGAAGGATTTTTGTAGGGTGTGAGAAAAAGGCAAATAAAATTTTGGATGACTCTAAAGATTTTAGCTTAAGAAACTGGAGTGGTTGGTAAATGAAAGATTAAGACTGGGACATTGACATGTTTGGAAATGAGAATGGGGGACAGATCAGAAGTGTTCATTTAGATAAGTTTGAGATTAAAATGCTTATTAGACCAAGAAGAGAAAATGTTCATTAGGGTTTTAAGCCATGTAGGCAGACTGTGGATACCAGAAGATGAGTATATGTAGACAAGAGACTAAGTCCTGGGACCCACTAGCACTAGCATTAGGATGAAGAAAAGCTGGAGATGAGGAAGAACTATCTGACTTGCTAATGTATTGCTCATAATAAAATGTAATTTGGGGAATACATTTTGAGGAAATCTATCTTTCACCTCACTTCCCAATTCAAACTTTTAGAGAGTGAGACGTTTGCTTCCTTGAAATAACAAATATTGCATATCTATTGGTTAAGAAGCTTAGAACTCCAGAAAACTTCACAAAACTTCAGGAGATTTCTATGGAAAGTAGACCAAAAAATTATCTATATACCAGAGACACTAAAGTCTCTAAAAAAAAACCCCAAGCCTTGAACAAGGATTAGTAAATTTAGAAATGGCTTACAAATACATCTAAAGTAGAAAAGTGGGATAATGAACATTGAGAGGTGATGGCCAGTGTTTTCAGTGAGCAGAGCCATGTAAGTCATTTAGAAATGGCTTATGTTGGCCAGGCTGGTCTCAAACTCCTGACCTCAAGTGATCTGCCCACCTTGGCCTCCCGAAGTGCTGGGATTACAGGCTTGAGCCACCGTGTCTGGCCCTCCAGCTCTTATATAAGAAAGAAATCAATGACTATTTATTTGAGCCATTGTTGTTTTCACCTTCACTACAGAGGCCAGACTTGAATCCCATGGCCCTTCTAATAGAGGCCAGTGTGCTAAAGTACAGCAGCAGTTGTTCTCTATTATCTGTTGATAGAGAAAATACATAATAACAATGAGGTATTATAAATGCAAGAAGGTTTTAAGTAAATTTTTATTTAATTAATCACAGCTACATACACTTGAAAAATAATAGTGCTTACACAGATGAGATGTATTGCTTGTTCACTCTACTGATGTGTGAACTGGTATGTGGGTTTAAGAACTCTTTGCCAAACCCCTTCTCTAAACTACTTTTTGAAGTCCATGGACTCAGGACTTAGAGTTAAAAATGAGGTTAAGCAGTATGGGAGCCAGCTCTGAAAGTCTTATGCAAATAAAACCTGAAATGCCAGTTCAGCCATGAAGCTGTTGACTTCAATTAGGTAAGTGAGGAGAGCAAAGGCCCAGAGAGTCCAGTATCTGTAGTGGACGTTGTGGTCATTTCCCCAACAGCACTTTGCTACTTTCCTGCTGCTTAACAGCCATTCCATTTGGGTTAGTGTACTGGGTTGGATAGTTTCTCCTCTCAAATTCTTATTCACTCAGAACCTGTGAATGTGACCTTGTTTGGAAATAGGGTCTTTGAAGATGTGATCAAGTTAAGATGAAGTCATGCTGGATTAGAGTGGGCCCTAATTGAATCACAAGAAGAGGGAAATTTAGGCAGAGACACAGAATAAAGGCACCATGTAAAGACAGAGGCAGAGATTGGAATTGTTATGTATCGAGCCAAGGAACACCAAGGATTACTGTCAACAACCAGAAGCTAGAAGAGATGAGGAGGGATTCTTCCCTGAGCTTTCACAGGGAGCATGGCCCAGCCAATACCTAGATTTTGGACTTCAAGGACTATAGAATAATGAGAGTAAATGTCTATTGTTTTAAGCTACTCAGTGTGTGGTACTTTGTTACGGCAGCTCTATGGAACCAATACAGTGTGATTGATCCTGCCCTCAGCTGAAGGCTTGTATGACTGTGAACACGTCTAACAACCAGTACACGATCCACCCAAACAGAAGAGGTGTCTGCTACATTGCTGGAACAGGGTCCAAATGAATGCTTGCTTTGCAGGTATTAACTTTTTAACCACTGGGTAATAGAGAAGTCAGGGGCATTCAAGGCTGGGATGCTGGTACAGTGAACACTTTAGCAGAGGGAGAGGGGAGCTTAGAATATTGGCTACTTATCCTCCGGTATAGAAGGATTTCAATATTTTATATACCTATGGGGTTATATCAGTGTGTGCCAGGTACATGCTGAAGTTGGTTCCTACCAATATATCTTTCCTTCTTGCCACTACAAATGACTCAAGAATTACCCAAATTGGGCCTATCAGAATGAAGCTCAGACTTTGATGTTTTTTTTGGCTAAAGGAGAACATGCCTTCTTTTGGGAGATATAAATGAGAAATAACATGAACCCGGTTGCTGCTAGCTAAAGCTTTGCAACCTGGAAAGAAAGTAGCTTAAGGGCAGACCCAAAAATCAAAGAATGAAAGAACTGAGAGAGTGGCAGCCAAATGGAACTGGAACTGATCATTTGCACCTAAGTCTCCCATCTTCTGGACTATTACTTATATGAGCCCATAAATTCTCTTTATTATTTATGCAAATTTGAGTTGGATTTCCTGTTGTTTATAACTAGAAGTATCCTAACTAATACAGTCCTTGTGATTTTCTTGGTAGATATTTATTGCGTCCTTCTCTTTGAAACATTTTATTTTGATGTCTGCTACTGTGATTATTTTAAAATTACCTTTTACCTTTGTGTTCTATTAATAAATACGTGAGATACCAGCCATGCATTAAGCAGATAGGACTTTGCTGAAAGACTACAATAAGCCAACTGTATACTAAATCCTTAGACTGCAACTCAAAAGCAAACACACACACACACACACACACACACACCCCTGCAATTTCCCCCACTGAACTCCCTGCCATGTATAATAAAAGCTAGTTTGCATTATAGATGCAATAGATGGGCAGAATGGTACCAATGAATGGAAGGGGATCTGTAATCTATGGGGATAATAGAAAAATAAAGGAAGGTATTAATTTAAAGAAATGTGGTTTTGTGAATGAAATTTTCTTCTATAACAACTTCAAAAATAAATCAAATGGTAGTGCAAAGGCCAATTTAAATACAGAGGCTAGCAAAGGAATGGAGATGGAGAGAGATGAATAGAGGTGGCCAGGGGAAAATCATGAAGTTTAAACTCTTTTTTCTGTATCTCAGCCTTCAAAATAAATCTTTCTTTTGCAGTTCTGGGGGCCATTTCAAAAACAGGGTTAAGGAAGGGCAGAGACAAAGTACCAGTGTTCTCTGTGCCTCACTAAAAATGAAAAATTTGAGTTGACTCAATTGATTTAAGTTATCTTGAATTACTGTTCATGCGTTTGCATACTGAATTTGCAGCTTCTGCTTTGTACTCCTAATGGCAGCTGCTGTCTATACATTGTTAACAATAAATATTTAAAAATGTAATTCCAGATTTAGCCAGCATTCCATGTACCTTCAACTGATTTTGAAATTAGTATATTGCTTTCAATAATAAGGAAAAATGATTTTAGAAACAAAACTGTAAAAATGATAAACTATCTTTTCCCAGTATGCAATTCATATTAAATTGATGGTGTCTGAAGAATACCAAACTGAGATTTTATCAATACATGCAGTACCACACATTTCTTATTTTAGTTGCTAATTAGTATTCAGGTGTGCAGTGGAATACATAAAATTAAATGCTAATGCTGCTTCATTTGTGATTTAACATGTACAAGTTACTATATGCTACATTACCCTGTCTATGCACATGTATAATAGTTGTTTTTTCTTTGCAATCATAATATCTTCATGTAGTTATTTTATTCAATCTTCTAAGGCCATGATATGAATAAATCTTTTTGGTTTAAAAAATCATTACCTTCTGTAGTTTACAAATGAAAAAAAATATCTGAGAGTCATTTTTAAAAGGCTTCAATTGAGGACTTAGTTTAATTGACCCAACAGCAAGGAAATTTTAGTTTTTCTCTCTACTTTGTTTCACTTAAGTTGTGATTAACAGCTACATAAAATTGTGAGCCACCTAATGGAAGTAGTTTTATAAATATTGCATGCCATTTTATGTTCTTCACTCTGTACTTCCCTTATAAAGTATTTTTATGTTAAAAATTTTCAAAGTTAATGTGTGAGGAAGTAACTAGCTACTTTAGTTAGTTAGATTTCTCTTCCCTGAAGAAAATTACTATAATGGTTACTTTTGCTAAAATGCAATTACTGTCACTGTAACAATCAATCATATTTTTTATATAAGAAACTTTAACAACTTTTGAATGCATTAAGAAAAGTAAATGAAAAAGACTCAGTGTGAAATAAGACTAGACACCCAAACCACCCCCTGCGACCCGACATTTGACAAGAAAAAAAATCTTAGCTACCTCTTTTGCAATACATTTTATTGCCTTATCTAAGATCACTGTGAAAGTTAAACTGTAGTAGTAAGCATGTTTCTCAGAGCATCATTGAAAAATGCTGTGTATATTCAACAACTATTAGCTATATTGTTTCTGGTGCACACAGTTTAATCCCAGCCCAACGGAATCTGTAGTCCTCCAGTTTCACAAATTAAACCAAAAGACACCATTTGAAAAGGTTTAACATTTGTTATACCCCTATAGATGAAAACATCTCTACATGAAAAATAGAGCTTAGGAAATATGAACTGTATTAGCTTTCAGCTTTAATAAAGGGATCACCAGTTGAGGTCAGCAGAAATTATTTGTCTCAAAATATTGTGCAGTCACATACCTTACAGACAGTATCTCCCCCCCAAAAGCATCTATAATAAATATACTAATTATGAAGACAGAATATTAAATATATTATGAGATTACTGCTACTCAAAGCACTCTATTTCTCATAAAGTATTAGGAATATGGAAATAGATGACTTGATCCATACTGTTATTTAATAACGTGTATTGACATGATGAATACTTTCATAAGTGACATTAATCAAAATATATCAAAGAATAATATATTATGATTAAAATACATTATTTTATGAGCTGTTGCACTGAACACAAAATTAATGCCTAGTAGCACAGGCAAACATAGCTCTGTTCTCTCTTCTAATTCATTGCTGCCCCAATCTCTACCCCTATGTCTGTTTCTTCTCATTTTCCCTAGTATATTTAATGGTAACTGTATCCAACTAATTTCTCCTAAACTAGACGCATGAGAAATATTTTCATTCCTTCTTCTTCCTTAGCTCTTTCATTCAATCCATTACTTAATTTCCATTCTAATTGGAGAAGTCTCTGTAGGCTTCCATTGTCTTCCTTTAGGCCCCTTGTCTACAACCTTCTATAAGCCTTCTCTACAACCTATAAGGTCTCAGTGTTACCAGTCTCTCTCATTTGTCACAACCCTTTTCCTTGCTTCCAGAGTTATCTTTCCAAACTCCTTGGCATGACATACTGTTCTCATCCCATTCTGTCTGATCTCACCCCTATCAGCTTCTTGGGCACTCCTACCCACTGTCCCCTGTCCTACCAGTGACCTAGTTAGTCCAAAGAGCTCTATAGTAGTGGATGCTGCTTTTTCTTCCTGGAATACCCTTTTCTAGGCTTCTGATTATAAAATTGCTATTTTTTCCATAAATCTCATCTAAAAAGCCTTCTCTGACACCCTCAGGAAAATGAGATGTTTTTTCTTCTGTGCTGTAATAGTTGTTTGGACATAAGTGGCTTATAGCACTTTCTGTGTTTCTTGAATTTTCCTCCACCACTCTGTGAGCTTATCCAGGGCAAGGACCTGTATTACTCTTTTTAGTATTCCTAGTTCTTAGCTCAGTGTATGACATAAGATAGCCCCTCCATACAGAGTGAAGGAAGGAGTGAATGATAAATCCTTTAGTACTTTTAGTTGTGAAATGGTTTCAGTACTTTATTACTTCTGGATTCACATTCTGTCTGGAAAAAAATCATTAAGAAAAATAGCCATTTAAAGTTATGCTGTAAAAATTAGTTTTTACCAATTTACCTAAAAGTAAAATCCATTACAATTAGAGGCCATTCTTCACTGTTAGAAGCCTCTCCATTCACATAAACACACACATGTATAAGATTATGAGAAAATTCATATAAAAATATGAGTTGTGAATGACCAATGTGTAACAGCTGTATGCATGATTATTTGTTAATAAAAAAAATCCCAAACAAAAGCAAACCACTACAAGATATCACTTGGACATTAGATTTCTTTTATTTCCCTCAAAGCTAAAGCTGGCTATAAAGAGTTCATCTGGTGGCAATTTTTTGAATGTATTTTAAATTGGTATAGTAGTAGACGGAGCTATCTATAGAAAATTGCATTTGGTTCTATTGCCAGTGTGTGTTTCTCTCCTTACATTCCATCTGTTATCAGAAAACTAATAAAGGTGCTTCTTTATGCCACTGCTGTACTTTCTAGAAAAGGGAAAATAACAACGTAAGTGTCAACATCCTCCCTCTCTCAATTAAAGGAGGTACAATTATTTCCCTTAAAGTACATTTGAATCAGATACCAGTCATTTTAATTTCACCAGAACCCTCATGTTCTTTAAGGAGTTGCTCTTCCCTCATGCCGGGGGTTTTGGTGGAAACGTCAGTCTCAGTGAAGGGCCAGCTTGTGGCTGTAGCAATGGGCAGAAGACCCAAGCCTGTCTGATCATGGTATCTCTTCCTTCTGCCTACAGTGTTTGATGCAAGTGGTGGGCGCATGACCGAGACAGGACAACTTAGAGTCCTTTTGTGAGGAATGTCAGTGTGTGCATGTGTTGGAAGAGAAATGGCTTATTTATTTTTTGCATTTCAAGATGTAAAGATGCACACTTGGGAATACGGGCGCTTAGGTTTTCCTCCATGTGAAGAGAGTCCATTTGACATAGGAAAATGTGAACCTTACACACACTGATAAGCAGAGGCTAGCATAGTTGGGATACTGCCTAACCCTAATGATACAATTTGTACTCCTGAACTGAGGCTATGCCTGAAGCAAGAGTCATCCTTGAATTTCCAGGCATTTGGGCCAATAAATTTTCTCCTCTTTGCTTAAGCAAGTTTGAGTTGGAGTTATATCACTTGTAGCCAAAATAGTATACATCAGAGAGGAATTATGCTGAGAAAAAACAAATGTTAAGAATCCTTAAGTGGCCGGATGTGGTGGTTCACGCCTGTAATCCCAGCACTTTGGGAGGCCGAGGCGGGCGGATCATGAGGTCAGGAGTTCAAGACCATCCTGGCCAACATGGTGAAACCCCGTCTCTACTAAAAATACAAAAATTAGCTGGGCATGGTGGCACGTGCCTGTAATACCGGCTACTCGGGAGGCTGAGGCAGGAGAATTGCTTGAACTGGGGCCCAGGAGGCGAAAGTTGCAGCAAGCTGAGATCACACCACTGCACTCTAGCCTGGGCTACAGAGCAAGACTCTGTCTGAAAAAAAAAAAAAAAAAAAAAAAAAAGAATCCTTAAGCATGACATTTAATGTTAAATGAAAAGTACTCATAATCTGTCACCAACCCCTAAAAGGAATAACTCCCAGATGTGACAATAAAGAGAAGCAGGGGAAAAGCTTCTGGACACGAACTCTCTGATCTCTCTCAGTATTTCCCATACTACAGCACTTGAAAATTCTAGTGAATCATTTTACTTTATATATTCCTCTTTCAAATACTACAATACTACTTTTAATTGATTCATAGTAAGAGTTCTAACAGAGTATGCTGGCTTTGGACCATGTCAATTTCCTCAAATTCCCTTCCTATGTGGTTTCAGGTTAGGGTTGGCCATGATAATTATTTGGGCAGGGTTTGGAAGTAGAGGGGAGACATTTTTAGGTTTTGAAGATTGCTGTCAGGCAGGTGCAGTTGCAGTTTGTGTGCGGTGTCACAGATTTGCTGCTGGCAAGGGGCAGCTGCTGGGCCCACAGCTGCTACAGCTCTCATTAGACTCCTTCGGATTCTGAGAGTCCTGGGCACATACAGCTCTGTACTAAAGGATGCTGGCCTATCCCACAAGTCACCCAGTCATTGGAACTTGAGGTAATGAGTGATTTGGTGAATGTTTAGTTTCTCCTAAAAGATTCCTGTTTGTCCTTGGCCTCTCCTACATTAAGATGGGTATTAAACCCATCTCCTCCTCCTGACTGCTGGCCCTCGGGCTCAGCACCAGACCTAGAGGCAACAGACATCCTCAACTGTGTAAGGGCTAATTGCTCTAATAAATGAATTCCTTATTCTCTATCACTTATATTAGTCCTGCTTACCTGATTGAACCCTAACTCATACCCATGGTGGTCTATTTTTCATTATTCATTTCTGAAGCCATATAAGATTTTATCTATTACTGGAAAGCAAAATTGATGAGGTTGAAATAATTAAGGCTTTCTACTCAGGCTGATTAGTCTTTACATTCCACCTTTGCTACCTATCTGTGTGGCTTTGGCCAAATTATTTAATCAATTGTTGCCTTAGTTTCTTCAGCTGCAAAATAAGGAAGAGTGTATGTCTAGCAGTGGGATTGCTATTAGGGCTCACAAGGAAATAAACATTTGTTTTGCCACTAGGTTATTGTTCATTACTGCAGCCTCAGTTATCTAGCACAAAGTTGCTACATTGTACCTACTCTTTAATATTTTCTAAAATGATGCATAAATGAGTATGTGCTTAATGCATGTTAATCTTTTCTTCTCATTTATTTAAGGAGTTGTGATAAATTATTGTTCAGACAACATTTAGTCTCTTCTCCCTCAAAAACCTCCATAAAAGAGGTACATTTCCCTATCCCACTGATGTGGATCTTGACCATGTACCTTGCCTTTGCCAATAGGATGTTAGAGAATATGATGTGAGTGAAGTTTTGGCATATGCTTCCACACTAGGATTATTTTTATTTCTCTTCTGGCTCCACCAAGGTAAGTATACACCCCAGGTAGTCATACCCCTTCAGCAGTGAAGCAGAGTAGTCCTGGTCCAGTCTGAAGCAAAGACACTTCAGCTAACCCATAGAGACATGACAAATAATCAATGCTCATATATTTTTTTGATTTGAGTGTTGGGGCAGTTTGTTAAGGAGAAATAGCTATCTGTTACAAAAGGGTTTAATTGTAAAGATAAAATCCATACCTATAGACTTAGCATGAAAAAGAAATCTTGAAACTCAGCTAAGCCTATGTATCATTATAAAATAGAGAGATATATTTGAACAATAGTTTAAGACTATCTTTGACCAGATTAATCCTCCACTAATATAATCTATGTGGGCCAATTATGGTCATTGTCCTAGGATAGCTGTAACAGTCATTCAAAGAGCATAAAACTTGGTAGCTATCCTCAAAGAGTACATGAATATATCCTCAAGAAAAATGAGTCTCTTATTTTAAAAAAGTAGTACCTTATCCAAGAGCCCTACAATAGGCTTATTATAAATAGGTTCATTATGTTGCTTTTCATTTGGACATGGAGAAAGAATTCTGCAATACTTCGAGAATGTGACCTTGAAGAAGAAGCTCGACTTTGTTTCCTCATCTATAGGATGAGGATAATAACAGTTACCACCCAATGGAGTTGTGAACCTTAAAAAGCGTGCGTGTAAAGCTCTTAGCACACTGTCTGGCTCATAGTAAGCAGTCAATAGAAGCTGGCCCTTGTGGTGGTGGTTACACTTGTGAGTGACAATATGCTTAGCCAAGAGACCTGGCTAATTCTGCCACTCTAAGCCATAATACAGCAATAGAGCATTCTAGCCTGGCTCTGAGGTAGAACAGGCAGTGTAACAGCAAGATAAATTCAGTCACAGGGGAAAATCTAAGAGATCAACAACTTTGTCCTTCCAAAAGGAAAAATAAAGTAGATTGTAGCTTTTTTTAAACAACAATTCTTGTGGAATCTGTTAGATCAGATTTCAGATTTTCCTTCCTTAGGCTAAGGACCAAATACTTTCAGTTATTTTTGTTGTTCATCTATGAATCATCTGCACATTTTTAACATTTCCCATTTTATTTTGTGAAGACAATAGATCCAAGAAGGTCTGATCTGAAGCAACCACAGTGGAACAATACTGGTCTGGCATAGAGTACATATTTTACTATTTTATTATTTGGTTTTATTCTGTCTCACAATCCTTGTCATTTTCCAGTGTATCTTCCTCCATTCTAAACCATGCCAATGGTTTGGTTGATGAGATTGACACTATTCTCAGTCATGGACTGGGCCTTTATTGCATTATTGATATCTCATCTTTGTGGCCCCCATGATTAGTTCAGAGTTAGGCATGTGACCCAACCTGGACCAAGGAGATCCTGAACCAAAGATTTGTCTTTGACTTTTGAAGTCTTTCTTTTCTTGGTTGGTGTGTTATAAAGACGTCAGGCTTGCAGCTGCTGCAGATGAAGCCACTAGGGGCAAATATACGGCGTTGAAGGATAAACTCAACACCAAGGAAGGTAAAATGTAGAAAATACAGATAAACTGGCTCATTGGTAAAATCAATGAAGCTGTTAAATCCAGCCTTCCCGAAGAAATTCAACTCCTTAAGCCTTACACATTTCTTTTATTATTTAAGGCAGTTTGAGTTGGGTTTTCTGTCATCTGCAACATAAAGAGTGATGTACTGACATGCCACACCCTTGTTTATATGCCTAAACCTGAGGTGATCAATAATGGTGATAAGAATCTTTTTGGGGGAATGGTAAATGAAAGTCCTGCTTCTGGCTGTCCATTTTTCACTCTTTCTTTTCCTTCCTTTTGACTTAGGCTATGTAGCAGAATAGGAATCCCTTAATTATATTTTCAAAACTCTTTCTTAAGAAAATGTGGTGTTAGATGCAAGATGAAAAAAGCAGGACAAAAAATCTACATACATACATACTCCCAAATATAATACAAATATAGTTCTATAGAGAATACAGTGTCAACTACGTGGACACACAAAGGAAAACATTATCTTTATGATAAAAAATAATAAACATTTTTTAAACAAATGCCTTCCTACCATAGATTTATTAAAATAGGATGTTGTCCTTCTTAGGCATGAAACACTCCTTATCTAGATAGTCCTTGTGACACATGTTACACTCATTTGTCACACAATCATTTCACTTAACAACTAGATTGTGATCAAACATTACAGCACATTAATTCCCTAGTGAGACAAGTTAGAATATAGTATGCCCTGCTGTTTTGTCACATTTCCTTCTTTTTATTGTAACTTTCTTTTAACATCACCAAATTTGGTGCTTTTTATCAAAATGATTGACTTCTTAATTGGAAGATTTGTTTGATGGTTAGGCTCCATATCTTGAATCAGAGAGCTTTGCTTAAGATTTACAAGTGCCTGTGAGTGGTATTGTCTCCACTGGCCTTACATAACACACATATTAGGTACAATGTTTCTTATTCCTGAAGCTGTAGTTAAAAAACAAAGGGAAAGTGAAAGAAAAACTTTCCAGTCTTGAAGGTAAATGTAAAATGTCTTATTGATTTTCTATGCACTAAGCATTATAAGTTTTATTGTTCTTATCGTGATATACACCTTTAAAATAGTTAATTGTCTTTCTGACAAAGCAAAAGAAATGAGTTATTCCAAGTGGAGGGTTAATAAGGCTGACATTAACAAGCATTTCAAAATATCATTGACATGTTTGGTTTGTAAACTCCATGACTAATTTTGTTGTTTTTAACTGTTTTGAGCGTATGTTTATACCTCCAGGAATATGAAGTGATGGAAATGCTACAGGGGAGAAAAAGTAACAAAATAGTATAATGCATATATCTTCCCAATAAGTGACATAATAGCTAGAGTGTTTTTTAAAATTCGAGCTATTTTTAGTGTCTTTGGCCATACATGGCTTGTTAGGGGTATGCCTCTTACTCTGCAGGTGGGGGTGGGGAGGGCATTGTGATAGAAGGATGGCAAGAGGAGGGGTAAAGAGTGGGGAATTTGCTCTGGGTTGGTTCAACAAGGAGGTGAGGATTCTGTAGCTTTCTCAAAGATGACTTTTAAAACATTGATGATACAATGGAGCCACTGTTATAACATGAGTATCAGACATGAAATTTACATTCATAACTTAAGGTTTTTTCCTGCATTTTAGTGAGAGAAACTCAAGGTCACTATTTGAATTGAAGTATACATCTAATCCATAGTAAAATGAAACAATTAACTGCAGGATGACACATTATTTTGATTCAACATGGATGTTAAGTCATGTATCTTGGCACATTGAATCCTAGCAAATGAGCATTTCTTTTTCTATGAAGATATTTGTAGTAATATACTCAATTATAGATAAGATGCTAGACAATTTTTGTTTTTAAATTTCTTCTTCCTTGCCAAAGATTCACAGCAGAAGCTCAATAGATGCTGTGTGCATGAAGAATGCTTATTGAATACCCACTGAATTTACTATGGTATTTGAAACAGTATATGTTTACCAAGGTTAGATTTGGTTCTTTCCTGATATAAGTATTTTATTCCACTTGTTCTGAGCTTATATTATGTAAAACACACACACACACACAACCACACACATCTTTACGTACTTTATATATCTACAGGAAACATTTTACATATGGCTTTTTTTCCCCACTCAGTGTTAGGTTTAACAGTTGTTTTTAGATGTTATTAACAGACAAATTAAAAATTCAAAAATTTAACTGTGGTTGGTGTTGGAGAATAGTTTTAATATATGCGCATTTAAAGTAATTATCAAGCATTAAAATCATCTTGAAAAATATGAAATCTATCATTATTTTCCACAAATTTGAAACATTGCCAGAACTTTAGCTCATTTTCTATATTCACAATTAAATATGTTTAAGACTTCTAAGGGTGCCTGGACAGATTTTATACTAGTAACTTTTCATGGGCCTTTAAGATTGCAAAGTCTTTTTATTTTTCCTTTTTTTTTTTGGAAGAGATGGGGATCTCATTATTTTTATTTTTATTTTTTTTTTTGCCAGGGCTGGAGTACAGTGCTGTGATCATAGCTCATTTGCAGCCTCAAACTCTTGGGCTCAAGAAATCCACCTGCCTCAGCCTCCTGAGTAGCTGGGACTGCAGGCGTGCACAACCATGCCCAGCTAATTAAACAAAGAAATGATTTAGAGGTGGAAGCTTACTGTATTTCCCAGGCTGGTCTTGAACTCCTGACCTCAAGCGATCCTCCCACCTCAGCCTCTCAGAGTCCTGAGACTGATAGTATGTTATTGTATAATTTAATAGTATATTATATAATTATAGAACATAGATTCTGGGACCCTAACCCTAACTTTGTTTAGGATATTTAACCTCTCTTCCTCAGTTTCCTCATCTGTACAATGGGAATAATTGTATACTTGATTATAAGGTTGTTCCCAGGATTAAACTGATGAATGCAAACCACTTACAAATGTATCTGGCGTAGAGGAGGCTTGATAAATGTTAGCAATTTTTATTACTGTTGATGATTTTTTTTACCCTCTCAATGGTTGATTTAAAATGATCCTAGTTAATGATATTACTTTATTGTGTTTTCAAATCACAATATGTCACAGCAAATAGACATTAAGAGTCTCAAGCCATATATTATTCCATTTAAATGAAAATTTCAGAATATCTAATCAATACTTTCAATAACATTTTCTATTGCCTTATGTAAAGAAGACAATTAATTAGTTAAGATGAAATTTCCTTCATCGATGTCACTAATATTCTGATGAACTCAAAATGAAGTATTTAATATACATGTTACAGAAAGCATATAATTCTAACATAATAACTTTCTCATTCCTAGGGTGCTTGTGATGTTTAATTAGTTAACATTTGGAAAGTGCTTTGTGGATTAAAAGTGCTACATAAGTGCTAAATCTTCATTGTTAGTAACAAAAGATCAAGTTTGAAAGAGCACATCAAGCATATTGTACAAAAATTGTATTTTATTGTAATGTTTTCTCTTCAATTTTGTTGAAAACTGCCATTAACGTTTATTCTCCTAAGAGATAAAAGCAGAGCACTCTTTTTTTTTTTTTTTCCAGACAGAGTCTCTCTCTGTCACCCAGGCTGGAGTGCAGTGGTGCGATCTTCACTCACTGCAACCTCCGCTTCCTGGGTCCAAGCAATTCTCCTGCCTCAGCCACCCGAGTAGCTGGGATTACAGGCACGTGCCACCACGCCCAGCTAATTTTTGTACTTTTAGTAGAGATGGGGTTTCACCATGTTGGCCAGGCTGGTCTAGAACTCCTGACCTCAGGTGATCCTCCCTTCTTGGCCTCCCAAAGTGCTGGGATTACAGGTGTGAGTCACCACTCCTGGCCAAAAGCAGATTACTCTCACTGGAAATCTCAGTGCAGTTAACCCAGTGAGAAATGATGGAACTTTGCTTAAGCCACCTAAAACAAATTCCTTCATTTTCATTATCAGCGAAGTAAAGATATTCATACTCAACCCCAACCTACTTAATGCAGACACTGAAAATAAATACTGCTGTAAAGTAATGGTATCTTTGAGCTCTTTACAGGATGGTACTATTAAATACATATTTATAACTGTTACAATTATTGCTCAGTGGCACCACATTCTCAGTGTACTGGGTACAGGGTGGTGACGCAGAGAGCGTCTCTGCCTCAGCACTGATTGCAGGGCTAGGCAATCCTCTTGCCATCATCCTTTATTCTCCCAGAAATAAGAAAAGTAGAAGAGCACAGCAAGCTGGAGAATCCCTTAGAGACCATCGAGCCCAACCTTTCAGTCCTCAGACACGAGTAAAATCCATCTTGGAAAGAAAACGGTAATTGTATGCTGTAAGTGGGTGAACTGTATGGTATGCAGATGACATTGCAATATAACTTAGAAAAAATTCTGCATAACCTGTGTATGTGTGTGTGTGTGTGTGTGTGTATGTGTGTGTGTAAATGCCTGCTGCCTTGGCCATTCCCTAAACTGGGTGTCAGACTTACTTCACCAACCCTGTTCTCATTCCATCTGTGGTCTTTGATGGATTGTGGAATGCAGTGACGTTGGTCAGATAAGAATCCAAAATGATCTCTTCTTTCTGAAGAGCTAATGGCAGACAATAATGAGAAGTTATTTAGGTTTTTTTCTTTTTCAGATGGCATTAACTTTTCAGGGGTTCTGAGGAGGTCTTATTGACTCATTAGGCTGTCATTTTCACATTTTTTCCCAACCCAATTTCTTACTCAGTCTCCAGCTGTTGATTTCTGACATCACACCCTGGAGGTCCATTCCTTTAGCTCAATGGTTCTCAACTGGAGATTCTTTACGGGACATTTGGAAATGAAAGGAACATTTTGGATTACTACAGTCAGTTGGGGTGGGGCACAGGGACAATGAAGACTATCTTGCATGAGCTGTCAGTTATGTTGCATGTGGTGAGAGGTACTGATAGTCTAGCTTAAGGCTTTGGTTTCTTTTAACATGTAAATACCAGAGTTGTCATTGTCACTCAGAATTTACCCTAAGTTTCAGATTCTTTCCTTACAACTAGTTTTGATATGTAGACTGGTAAGAGGTGGTGAAAAGAGCACATATATCTGAATTTCCCAGAGATGACGTTCTTATGGGGGCAAAGAAGATGGGAAGGGAAGAATCTGTGGCAGGCACTGCTGGTTGGCCAAACCATAGCAATTTCCAATCCCCCTTCTCTCTTGTCTCCTTTCACTAGGAAGGCTGGAAAAGACAATGTACTGCCTCAGCTTTCCTTTTAGGTGGGTGGCCATGTAACAGAATGCTGACCAATGATGCATAAGTAATAGCCTGCTTGGGGTGGGAATAGAGATTTCTG